>NC_000001.11:235881091-236032606 GCF_000001405.40 Homo sapiens | reverse complement strand
GGGGAGCAGCCAGGTCCCCATTGTCTTTGAGAACACTGACCTCCACTCTTACGTAGTAATGAACCACGGGCGCTCCTACACAGCCATCAGCACCATTCCCGAGACCGTTGGATATTCTCTGCTTCCACTGGCCCCAGTTGGAGGCATCATTGGATGGATGTTTGCAGTGGAGCAGGACGGATTCAAGAATGGGTTCAGCATCACCGGTAATTTATATCCGACATTAAAATTAGTGGGTCACACAGTAGTGCCTAGGGGGAGGCCTGGGGATGGATGGAAGGAGAACTCTGAGTCTGCAGACAACTTAGAAGCATGTTGTTGCTCCTTTTTGTCTGTAGACAGGGCATCCTGTAGTTCTGTCTTGGAAATAAGATGATGAGGTAAAATGAACATGTAATATTATCATTAATATATAGCAACTGAGACTGCCTAGAATTGGGTTTTGATTGAGGAGCAATTTCGTGGTGGAGATTTAGGCGTTTCTGGCAGAACAAGTGATATCAGCTCGTAGAACCTCACAACTTCACAGTTTGCCTCATTCTATCAAGCCTGCCTCTGAATTCCAAACCAACCTGAAACTGATCTCAAGCCTGCCTCTGAATTCCAAACCAACCTGAAACTGATCTTTGATATTTCCTCAGGATTTGCTCAGAGAGAAGGAACCTGCCATTTCTAGCTAGTTACTTAAGCTGCATAAACATAATCCTCAGAAGTCTTAGGAAGCCTAGATATCCTTGGAGTTTTTTAGAGACTGTGCCCTATTGAGGAAGGTTCAGTCTTTACTGGACGCGTGGGCAGATGGCTTGAGGGATGTTTCCTTGGTGTTGTGGTGGCCTTCCCCTTGCCCTGCCAAGACCAGCCCAACCTTTGCATGCTGGAGACCCATTCCCGAGAACAGCTGGGTTGGAGGAGTCTGTGTCCTTCATCGCTGGTCACTTCCAGGACCTGGAGTTTGTTGTGCTGGGGCACAGGTACCTAGCCACTGCCTCCGACGACCTAGACCTGCCTTCTCCCCCACTGCCTGAGCCAACCTGGAGCCTTAGCCAAGGCTTTATTAGAGGAAACACTGCTGGAAGCAGGGTCTCCATCCAGGCTGCACGCTGGTAACCCCTCCAAAAGTTATGGCATATAAATACATAAAGTGTGGCCGTCTTAAGAAAGGAGAGGCTATCTATTAGAAAAGGAGTGAGGCCGGGCATGGTGGCTCACGCCAGTAATCCCAGCACTTTGGGAGGCCGAGGCACATGGATCACAAGGTCAGGAGATTGAGATCATCCTGGATAACACAGTGAAACCCTGTCTCTATGAAAAATACAAAAAATTAGCCAGGTGTGGTGGCGGGCACCTGCAGTCCCAGCTACTCGGGAGGCTGAGGCAGGAGAATGGTGTGAACCCAGGAGGCGGAGGTTGCAGTGAGCCGAGATCGTGCCATTGCACTCCAGCCTGGGCAACAGAGTGAGACTCTGTATTAAAAAAAAAAGAAAAAAAGAAAAAAAGAAAAGGATTGAACCTGCTCAAAAGATTTGCTACTTTTTGGCCTAATGTTTTTTCTTCCTAGTCCACAGGCATATATATTCTGAGTGTTATAACAATATTGATGCTCTCATGCAAACCAGATGCCCTTTTCTTTGCAAATATCATTGAGCTGCAGTCAAACTCACAGACCCCACTCCTTCCCTGCACAGCTTTTCACAGTTTGTTTTTTTAATATGAGTTAATTTATATTGGTGCTATTTTGTAATATACATGGACTTCAGCTGGGCTGAGGGAGAGGAAGTCTTTGCAAATTCCTGACAGCAGCAAATCTGTTTACTCCAATGATCCTTCTGAATTTCTCCTGGTCCTGTGTTATCTTTGAGATACTTGCCTGGGACTTGTTTAACTATAAAGCTGAGGTTGTCAAACTTTTTCGGCAAAGGGCCAGATAGTAAATATTTAAAGCTATGCCTAATTATTTTAGGCCATATGGTCTCTGTTGCGACGGCTCAACTCTGTCATTGCAGAGTGAAAAGCAACCACAGACAATATATAAATGAATGAGCATGGCTGTGTTCCAATACAACTTTTTGACTGGGCACTGAAATTTAAATTGTATATAATTTTCACATACCATGAAATACTGTTCTTTTGATTTTTTTTTAACCATTAAAAAATGTAAAGACCTTTCTGAGCTCAAGGGTTGTAGAAAAATAGGCAGCTGGCAAGATTTAGCCCTGAGGCCATAGTTTGTCAACCCCTGCTGTCACGGGGCAGGTCATTGTGGAAAAGGGAGAAGTATTTTTCCTGCCTGTCTGGGGCTGCCGCCTTGCACAGACCAAGAGGAGTTCCTAAGCCATCATGGTAGCAGGTGATCCTAGGATGGTTTCTGGTACTGGGAATGGTTTGCCACGAGCAACTCACCCATCCAACCAGGACGTAGCTATTTCAATATTCATCACCGTAACTGGCATTATGGAGCACTTGACAATTTGCAGAACATAGATTGTATCCTTTTTTTAATCATCAGGGAAATGGAGGCTCACAGGAGTTAAGTAGCTTACTCAAGTTCACCCAGACAGAGCCTAGCACAGCTGGGAGTCCAACCCCTGTCCTCCGCTATTTCCAGCACAACCCTTGAGCCAACCCAACAGATGCTGGGCTGTGGCTAGGAAGCCTCTTCTCTCCTCTGCGTGTGGCTCAGTTGGGCCACAGGGATGTCTGAGCTCTGTCTTCAGTGTCACCAGTTCTATGTTCTACAGCCAAACCAAAGCACCTGCAGAAGCGTTCGCACCAACCCCACTCCACACTGTGAGCCTGGGGCGGGCAGAAGGGCGCGCTCCCCAGTCAGCAAAGTGACAGTCTCATCTTGTTTTTCAGGGGGTGAGTTCACTCGCCAGGCTGAGGTGACCTTCGTGGGGCACCCGGGCAATCTGGTCATTAAGCAGCGGTTCAGCGGCATCGATGAGCATGGGCACCTGACCATCGACACGGAGCTGGAGGGCCGCGTGCCGCAGATTCCGTTCGGCTCCTCCGTGCACATTGAGCCCTACACGGAGCTGTACCACTACTCCACCTCAGGTGAGCCCCAGCTGTGTCCCAGGGCCAGCCCCAGACCGGCCACTAGCCTCGTGCTCTTGACCCACCACGGCAGCCGTGAACTGGGGCTGTCTCTGGGATCTGGAGAGGGAAATACACCGGGCCTTACAGTCACCTTCCCCTCAATTATAGACATAGGACGCACTACTCCTTGTAGAGAATTTTGTGCAAAAAAGACAATACGCATGAGTTAGAGTTGTAAAACCTGGACATAATTATTATGACATTTAAGTGTATTTCTTTTCAGCTTTTTCTCCAGCATCTATCTATTTACATGTATATGAAATATCCCAACATATAATTTCATGATAAACTAATTTTATTATACATCTATTTGTACTTTTTTTTTTTTTTGAGACAGGGTTTCACTCCTGTTGCCCAGGCTGGAGTGCAGTGGTGCGATCTCAGCTCACTACAACCTCCGCCTCCTGGGCTTGAGCAACCCTCCTGCCTCAGCTTCCCAAGTAGCTGGGCCTACAGGCACATGCCACCACACCTGGCTAATTTTTGTATTTTTAGTAGAGATGGGCTTTCATTATGTAGGCCAGGGTGATCTGGAACTCCTGACCTCAAGTGATCTGCCTGGCTCAGCCTCCCTAAGTGCTGGGATTACAGGTGTGAGCAACTGCGCCCGGCCACATCTGTATGTACTATTAAAAACTACATTTATTCTCCATTTGGTGCCTGGTTTTAAATAATATCAAACTTACGTGAAAACTGAACAAAGCCCAAAAAACGTTCACATACTATTTATCTAGCTTCACCAATTGTTAACATTTTGCCACATTTACTTTACCATTCTCTCTCTGTCTCTCTGTCTCTCCATATATATATATATATATATGTATACTGACCATTTGAGAATAAGTTGTATATATCATGATAGATCGTTCTTTAAACACTTCATTTGTTTTTCCTAAGAACAAGGACATTCTTTTACAAGGCCACAGTACAGTTATCAAAATTGAGAAATTTAACATGGATACACAGTGATATGTATAGTTTTTTGGTTGTTGTTTGTTTTGAGACGAGCCCTCACTCTGTCGCCCAAGCTGGAGTGCAGTGGTGCAGTCTCGGCTCACTGCAGCCTCAACCTCCTGGGCTCAAGTGAGCCTCCCACCTCAGCCTCCTGAGTACCTGGGACTACAGGCACACTACCATGCCTGGCTAATTTTTAAATTTTTGTACAGATGGGGTTTTGCCATGTTACCCATGCTTATAGTTTTTATTTAAATAAAATTGCAATCATACCACATTGTTATATCTTCACCTTTTCAGTTAATGTCAAATCGTGAATGTTTAGTAGTCTCATTAAGCAGTCTTTGAAAACACTTTTTAAGGAATCTGTGTGATTCTACTGGATGGCTATTAATTCAAACCATTCTTCTACTTTCTAAAGCTTGGGTTGCTTCCATTTTCTCCTCTTATTATGAGTTGAAATGATTGTCTTAATCATAAATCTTGGCCAAATTTCTGATTCTTTTCTAAGACTCAATTCCTAGAAATAGAAGTGCCGAGTCAAACAATAGGAATTTTTTATTTTTTTAATTTAATTTTATTTTATTTTTGAGATGGTGTCTTGCTCATGTAGAGACCCACTGAATAATATTCATGAACATGAACTCATATGTGGGTCATTAAACCCCAGGTTAAGAATCCCTTCGTTTTTTTTGTTTTTGTTTTTGTTTTCTGGTTGTTGTTTTGAGACAGGGTCTTGCTCTGTCACCAAGGCTGTGGTGCAGTGGTGTGATCTCAGCTCACTGCAACGTCTGCTTCCCAGGTTCAAGTGATTCTCCTGCCTCCACCTCTGAAATAGCTGGGATTATAGGCGCCTACCACCAGGCATGGCTAACTTTTGTATTTTTAGTAGAGACAGGGTTTCTCCATGTTGCCCAGGCTGGTCTCGAACTCCTGACCTCCAGTGATCCTCCCGCTTCAGCCTCCCAAAGTGCCGTGATTACAGGCGTGAGCCATCGTGCCTGGCCACCTTTTTAAAGGCTCTTATTAAATTGCTGTTCGGAAAGGTTGAAGCAATTACTGGAGTTTTGTGGCTTGGTTGAGTTCTCCTGGGGAGCTGGGAGACAGTGAAGAAGAGGAGGAAAGAGCAACAGGACCACAGTTGCGGCCGGCTTGTAGCTGAATGGCCTTTCTGGCGTGTGGGAGCTGGACAGGAGGCAGCTTACACTGATCTTTTATTTATCCTCTGGCTTTTATGCTTCTATTATGGAGCAAACTGCAGCAGAGCACAAAGATATAAAGAGTCTTTTATGCTTTTTTTTAAAAAAACAGGAAGTTGAGGGTTTTGTCGTATGGGCCATAGCAGGCCCTCTTCTGAGTGGGGAGGACTGTCTCTCCTCTCCTCTGTTCAGGCTTGCTCACAGTGCTTTAGTAATTTTTCCAAACCTGGCTACTGAAACTCATTTAATATCTCATTTTTTTGGTATTGCAGGATGGCTTGGTCTAGACCGGTATGTAGAAATCACCATTTATTGGCCAGAAGTAGTGCCTCACACCTGTAATCCCAGCACTTTGGGAGGCCGAGGCAGGCAGATCACTTGAGGTCAGGAGTTCAAGACCAGCCTGGCCAACATGGTGAAACCCCGTCTCTACTAAAAATACAAAAAAATGAGCTGAGCGTGATAGCACATGCCTGTAGTCCCAGCTACTTGGGAGGCTGAGGTGGGAGAATCGCTTGAACCCAGGGGGCGGAGGTTGCAGTGAGCCATGATCGTGCCACTGCTCTCCAGCCTGGGTGACAAGGCGAGACTCTGTGTCAAAAAAAAAAAAAAAAATGAAAAAGAAATCACCATTTATTGAATCATAATTGAGATAACCTATATAAAGCAGTTAGCACGTTGTGACAGAGTAAATGCTCAGTAAATGGTAGTTTATCTTACTAATACTATTAGTCTGCTTGATTCCAGAAATTGCACATACATTACCTGGTCTGATCCCCACCTTGACCTATTTTGTGTGAGAAACTGAGACCAAAGATGTTGAGTCATCAGCCAGTGGCCACACAGCTTGTGAGTGGTACTGAGTGTGAATTCAGGGGCGTCTCTTTCCAAGTGTGTGTCCTCTCAACCTGACCTTCATCTCTAGTTCTGGGCGTCTTCAAAACTTACAGAGAACCACTTGAGAGAAAAGCAACAAATACACATAATACGAATAATACCAATGATCATATGGGGAATCCAGGTATTTCATAGAATGAGTCTCAATACAAACAAATGGTCTTATTTAAGCTGTTCTGTCTGGTCTGTCATCTGGTAGCCTTATGGGCAGGGAATACCACTGGTGCCTTGAAAGCCGTTGATTCAGCTTCTTGCATCCTTAACCATCTTCCCTCTGTCTCCCTGCCTTGTCCCCTCCATCCTTCCCACTCTGCAGTGATCACTTCCTCCTCCACCCGGGAGTACACGGTGACTGAGCCCGAGCGAGATGGGGCATCTCCTTCACGCATCTACACTTACCAGTGGCGCCAGACCATCACCTTCCAGGAATGCGTCCACGATGACTCCCGGCCAGCCCTGCCCAGCACCCAGCAGCTCTCGGTGGACAGCGTGTTCGTCCTGTACAACCAGGAGGAGAAGATCTTGCGCTATGCTCTCAGCAACTCCATTGGGCCTGTGAGGGGTAAGGGGATACAGCTCATGCTGGGCACAGGTGCTCATGCATTTTTAAAACCCCACTCTTTGACATTGTTTTTGGTCTCTTACTCTCAGTCTGTAGAAGAAAATTATGCTAAAGTATCTTCTGGCAGGAAAAAAAGAATGTCTTGTTATTTTTGATTCTTGGAAAAGCTGCCTGTCTGTTCTTCTAACCAAAGGCCTATTCGTGATTCTATCTAAAGTAAAGTGCAGAATGCTAACCTGTTGAGGTGCCTTACAGAGTGGACCCTCTTAAGGCTACTGCTGGCATTGGCAGGGCTTTTAAAACCCTTTAATATTCAACCTTGAAAGAAATTGTAGGCCAGGTCCAGTGGCTCATGCCTGTAATCCCAGCACTTTGGGAGGCTGAGGCGGGTGGATCACTTGAGGTCAGGAGTTTGAGACCAGCCTGGCCAACATGGTGAAACCCTGTATCTACTAAAAATACAAAAATTAGCCAGGCATGATGGCACGTGCCTGAAATCCCAGCTACTTGGGAGGCTGAGGCAGGAGAATCGCTTGAACCCAGGAGGCAGAGGTTGTAGTCAGCCGAGATCGCACCACTGCACTCCAGCCTGGGCGACAGAGTGAGACTCTGTCTCAAAAAAAAAAAAAAAAGAGAAATTGTAGGGCCGAGCATGGTGGCTCATGCCTGTAATCCCAGTACTTTGGGAGGCCAAAGAGGGCGGATCACCTGAGGCCAGGACTTTGAGATCAGCCTGGCCAACATGGAGAAACCCTGTCTCTACTAACAACACAAAATTTAGCTGGGTGTGGTGGTGTGTGGCTGTAATCCCAGCTACTCGGGGCGGCTGAGGCAGGAAAATCGCTTGAACCTGGGAGGCGGAGGTTGCAGTGAGCCAAGATCATATCACTGCACTCCAGCCTGGGCAGCAGAGAGGGGCTGTCTCAAAAAAAAAAAAAGAAAAAGAAATTGTGTGGTTAGTGCCTGAGGAAATTGAATAAAATTAGGGAGGGAGCCTAAAAGAAACGCTTGCCCTGTGACTCTGCATCACTGGCGCTGCGGTCTGGTCTGTGGGCGTTCCCAGCTGTCGGGAAGGAGCTGAGGTTTAGGGAGCTTTTGTGACATACCAGTGTCAGACTTCACATTTGTCCATATCTTTAAGCCTCAGGGGTCCTGTGTAATTGGAGTCTGGTCTGAGCCTTAAAATCTTTCCCTTTTTTCGGTTGTCTTTGATTCTTCCTCCATATCCAAATCATTGCTCTAGCTAATTAATTTGTCCTCACTTTAACTTTATGAAGCAGAAAGAAGGCAGGCATTCTCCCTCCTATAGCAACTGTGGCTCCAGGCATCAGGAGTCAGTGCATTCTTGGTGAAGGACCAGATAGTAGGTATTTTAGGTTTTGCTGGCTATACAGTCTCTATCACGACATGTCAGCTCTGCCGTGGTAGCACAAATGCAGCCATAGACCATACATAAATAAATGGACGTTGCTGGTTGCTAATAAAACTTTATTTACAAGAACAGGGAGGGGGCCATGCTGGTCCTGCCCCAGGGCAACACAGGAATTGGCTGGTGTCCCATTCCACTCTGCTCTTCTGTGATCACCTTCTTGCTCACCAGTTGTGGTTGACTTTCTGTGGAAGGAGGAAACCTGCAAGAGCTCCTGAAGACTCACTTGGTTCCAATGTCTCTGTCTTCACAGAAGGCTCCCCTGATGCTCTTCAGAATCCCTGCTACATCGGCACTCATGGGTGTGACACCAACGCGGCCTGTCGCCCTGGTCCCAGGACACAGTTCACCTGCGAGTGCTCCATCGGCTTCCGAGGAGACGGGCGAACCTGCTATGGTACAGCCTTTGATTCTGACTTGTTGGGGCTGGGAAATCAGGCGAGGAGGAGGCATCCACGTTCTGTAAACCAGAGAACTGGGTGCAGCAAGGAAGCACGGATGAGATAAATACTGGTGGACATGCCAGGCCTGAATTATTTATGCTTCACATTCACTGTTCCCGTGGGTAAACTCGGGAGTACTGGCCCATTCTTTTGTCTGATTAAGCAGCAGAGTAGAATTCCTAAGGCCACACTCCACTCCGTCTTAAGAATGCACAGGTTTAAAAGGAGTTGTAAGTCAGAGCTGTTAATGATAACACCAGTAATATAACAATAGCTATAATTTACCCAGGCACTGTTTGAACTAAGTGCTTCACAACATCATCTCATTTAATTCTCCAACAACTCTAACAAGATGGATTTTTTGTTCCTTTTTAAAAAAAAAAAATTGTTTGCGGTAAAATATACATAATATAAAATATACCATTTTAACACTTTTTAAGTGTACAGTTCAGTGGCATTGCATGCATTCATTTTATTGTGTAACCATCACCACTGTTCATCTCCAGAACTCTCCATCTTGCAAAACGTACTCTGTACCCATTAAACAACAACTCACATTTCCCCCTTCCTTCAGTCTTTGGCAATCACCATTCCACTTTCTGTCTCTATGCATTTGATTATTCTAACGATTGCATATGTGGAATCATATTTGTTCTTCTGTGATTGGCTTATTTCACATAGCACAGTGTACTCAAGTGTCACCTATGTTGTCACATGTGTCAGAATTTTTTTTCCTTTTTAAGGTTAGATAATATTGCATTGCATGTACATATCACATTTTGTTTATCCATCCATCAGTGGACGCATGGGTTGCTTCCACCTTCCAGCTATTGCAAATAATGCTGTTATGAACGTGGGTATGCAAATATCTGTTGAAGTTCCTGCTTTCCGTTCTTTTGGGCATATATTCAAAAGTGGGATTGCTGAATCATATGGTAATTCTATCTTTAATTTTTTTTTTTTTTGAGATGGCGTCTTGCTGTGTCGCTCAGGCTGGAGTGCAGTGGCGTGATCTTGGCTCACTGCAGCCTCTGCCTCCTGGGCTCAAGTGATTCACCTACTTGTCTCCTAGTAGCTGGGACTACAGGTGCTTGCCATCATGCCAGGCTAATTTTTGTATTTTTAGTAAAGAGGGCTTTCACCATGTTGGCCAGGCTGGTCTGGAACTCCTGACCTCAAGTGATCCACCTGCCTCGGCCTCCCAAAGTGCTGGGATTACAGGTGTGAGCTGCCACGCCTGGCCTTTCCATCTTTAATTTTTTGAGGAACCACCACAATGTTTTCCACAGGGGCTGCAACATTTTATGTTCCCACCTACAGTGCACAAGCATTTCAATTTCTCCATCTCCTTGAAAACACTTGTTTTCTGTGTTTTTTAAAATAGGAGGCCAGGCGCAGTGGCTCACACCTGTAATCCCAGCACTTTGGGAGGCCGAGGTGGATGGATCATGAGGTCGGGAGTTTGAGACCAGCCTGGCCAACATGGTGAAACCCCGTCTCTACTAAAATGCAAAAATTAGCCAAGCATGGTGGCAGGTGTCTGTAGTCCCAGCTACTTGGGAGTAGGAGAGACAGGAGAAGTGCTTGAGCCTGGGAGGTAGAGATTTCAGTGAGCCAAGATCACACCACTCCACTCCAGCCTGGGTGACAGAGTGAGACTCTGTCTCCCAAAAAAAAAAAAAATAGGGGCCATCCTAATGGGTGTGAGTTTCATTCTCCTATTTATTTATTTATTTTATTTTATTTTTATTGTTTTTGAGACAGGGTCTCACTCTGTTGCCCAGGCTGAAGTGCAGTGGCACAATCTTGGCTCACTCCAGCCTCAACCTCCTGGGCTCAGGTGATCCTCCCACCTCAGCCTCCTGAATAGCTGGGACTACAAGTGTGCCACCATGCCTGGCTAATTTTGTATTTTTTGTAGAGATGGGGTTTTTCCATGTTGCCCAGGCTGGTCTCAAACTCCTGGGCTCAAGCAATCCACTTGCCTTGGCCTCGCAACGCTCTTTTCTTGTAGACAAGAAAACTGAGGCTCATTAAAGTGAGCCGTGACAAATATAGTATTTGAACACAAGTCTCTGACTCAAGCATCGTATTACTCCATCTTCTAGTTGCAGTTATTTTATTATTTATAACTTAAGTTCAAATACTTTCATGTAGGCAGCTTGATATTTGTTTGTTACTAAATTGTAATCTACTGCCAAGGGGAAGTCAGTCCACTACTAAGGGCAAGAATGCCAAGTGCTTCGAGCAGTGCTGTTTAAGTCTGCAATTAGTGAGAGGGCTCACTAATGAGCATAAGGAATGCTAGAAGTAAGCTTCCCTGGTGGGATGAATAGTGTGTTCACATATGGTTGGCCAGGAAAATGAACAGCTCCCTCTACCCCTGCTTGACAGAGATATAAGAATCTGGCAAGCCCAGCAGTCTCAGAATTCGGGAATCATGCCTGAGGTCTGGAATCCAGCAGCCGCAGCTAATGGCAGATTTGGTGTGCTGATGTAACATGAAGGTTAGAAGATCCTGCTGTCAGGGCCTCGCGGTGTTGGCTTCATAGTGAACCTTTCATGCAAGGTGCCTGTCAGGGTGTCTGAAATACTGGAGGGCAGGAACTTGTGCGCATAGTGCAGGCTGTATGTTTGGCCAGCTTGCTGATAGCTTTGTATATGTGGTAGAATTCAGTCTGGGACTTACCTTCCTGGTAACGTATCGCTAGGGAGGGGACATAGTGCCTACTCACCTGCAATCGTCAGTTTCCCAGTATTTCCTGCAAAGAGCCTGACAGCCTTGAATGGCTGAATTGGCTCTGGCCAGTTCAAAGCAGCATGATGCTGTGTGTGTGTGTGTGAACGGGAGCCCTCCCAGGCTGTGAGACGGCTGGCATGCGGGGATGGGGCTCCTTCACCGATCCATGCCTCCTCATTACACAGCTCTGCTTCAACTTCGTAAGCCTCCTGGATAGTAATAAGGTGCAGAAGTAACCCAGTCTGCTGCTGTTGAACTGTGACCTCGTGGCTAATTCTGCCCTTGGTGCCTGAGCTTGCCACAGTGGGAGTGCTTCACTTCAGAAGGCACAACCAGCCATCCTTTATGTAATCTGCACCATCCTAGAAAATCCTCCGATATCCTTGTCCAGAAAGACAGGTGGTCGCATGTAGACTTGCTTTTGTCCTGTGGTGAGTGGTTGTTCTGACTTATTACCTCCGTGGAATGCGAGTGTATTCCCAGTCAGGACACTTATTGTTCTGGGTCACTAGAACATGCCTTGAAGTGTTAATGTATCGAGACATGAGGCTTAAAATAGGAAATTGCATTAAGCAGATCACTTCATGTGTTATTTGGACTTGGGAAGTGCGTTAGAGGAGAATGAGGATGAGCCTTTGTGATTCAGTGTGTGCAGCGCTGATATGATGGTATATGACACCCCAAACAAGGGTGGTTTTGGTGAGACGTCGCACAGTGACTCTCCACAGTAATTTGGAGACGATTTCACAGAGCTCTGTGATTCACTCTGGTCCATGGCAGGATGGCTCCCGCTGTTTCTCAATTTAGAGCCCGTAGAGATAGTTTTGGCTCATCTCTCATTGAGTAATCGTCGAGTATGTAGAAGGCATTTAGCAAATTGGTAATGAGACTCTTCTCCTCTAAGAGCCTGGCCTTTATAAAAGGGAAAAATTGGAGAAACTTAGAGTTGTTGAAAATATGTGAAAAGTAGCCACTCTGAAAAAAGTCAAAAAGGAGGCAGCAATGACAAGAATGATCCAGGATTTTCCTATTGAGTTAGAAAGTGATCCTGTGAAAGGAAATCTCTTTCCAGAGAAGAGGTTGACCAGATGTTAAATAATAAGAATAATCATTTTCTAGCAGATACTGTGGTATGTTATGAGAGACAGTTATTGCCAGTTTTCAATACCACTGAAGAAAGGGTTAAGGACCTGGCTTCAATTTATAGAAAAGAAGTTTGTTTTTGTTTTTTTTTTTTTTTTTTTTTTAAGGCAGAGTCTTGCTCTGTCGCCCAGGCAGGAGTACAATGGCGCAATTTCGGCTCACTGCAACCTCCACCCCCTGGGTTCAAGCAATTCTCCTGCCTCAGCCTCCCGGATTGCCGGAATTACAGGCACATGCTGCCTGGCTAATTTTTGTATTTTTAGTAGAGATGGGGTTTCACCATGTTGGTCAGGCTGGTCTCGAACTCCTAACCTCAGGTGATCTGCCTGCCTCAGCCTCCCAGAGTGCTGGGGTTACAGGCCTGAGCCACCGTGCCTGGTCCTAGAAGAGAAGATTTAAATTATACATTAGGAAGAATTTCCAAACTGCAAAGACCGTGGACTATTAGCTCAGAAATTGCTAGGGTCTTGTCCCTTAAGAAAGGGTGTTGTCTAGTCTGGCGTGTATGTGTAAGCCGGCATGGAGGTGGAGGTTGTGCTAGGGAACCATTCCCTCCATCATCCCAGCAGCCCTGAGGTCCTATTTGTCAATAGCTTTTCAGGTAGGGCTAGAGAGAAGAGCCTGGTCACATAGAAGCTTTTCCAAAACACAGCTTCCCCTTGCGTAAATGTTCCCAGGGAGGAACAGAGCTTGAAGAAGATCCCCTGTGATTTTGCTCTGTCTTCTTGATTGAAAACTGCTGCTCTGTGCTCTCGTGCTTTGGCAATGCAGTCTAAGTCACTGAGCCCTGCAATATGTACAATGTTTCCAGACATCTGTGCTGGGAGTGTCCTCTGAGAGTTGCAGCACAGAGGCAGTGGACACAGGAAGCCCCTTTTTTCTCCCATGTTGCAGCGGCAGCTGATGGATGGAGCTGTGAAGTCCAAACGTGCTGGGTGCACTCCTCCCCCACAGCCTCCCCAGCTCCAGCTTGCATAACAGCCTGCTTTGGGAGGGGCTTTGTTCCAGAACCTTCTGGCAGTGCCTGGTTCAGTCCTGAGACCTTGTGTCTTAAACACGTCACAGAACACGCACATATCAGTATAATCTCTAAAAGTTGAAGAGCATTTGGTTTGGGTATTTGCCTGGGTACAGGACAAACTATGAGGCTGATGTGATCAAGAATGCTTGTCTTGTGCAATGTTGACCAATAGGCCAGTAGGACATTTGTCTCACCAATAAAGGCCTGGCTAGACTGGACATTGAAGGTGGACATAGGAGGCTTTGACTCCCACATGTCAACGATTCATATGAAAGCGCTGGGGAAGAGATTTATGAGGGGGAGAAGAGCTGTGTGGTCTCGGCCATTATGAGAAACATGTCTTATTTGTTTTAGGTCTAAAACATGTCTAAATTTGTTTTAGGCTAGGGGCTGTGGCTCACGCCTGTAATCCCAGCACTTTGGGAGGCCCTCCTCATGCACATCTCAGGGTTTTAGAAATGCCAGAAGTAGCTGTCTACACTCTGAGTATGAGGTTGACGTGGGAAGGACCTTGTGTAACTGTTCATTTCAACCCATCAGTGGCCACATAACCAGGGGGAATGACAGGTTAGCTCAGTTTCTTGCCTGGGCCCACCAGCCTTACACAAGTGGTAGCCACAGCCTGGCCCCCAAAGCCTGGCGGCCATCTGAGGGGCGTGTTCCCAGAGTTAGCCAAATTCATCACCATGGCTGGGGTGTTGGATGAATCTCTAGTTAGTATAATCATAGCTGGGTGTCTGGAACATTGTTGGGTGCTTCTCTGACCTCCATCCATTTTCCGTAATCTGCAGAAGAACCCTCAAGATGAGTAGTAGTATACTTATTTACCAAAGGGAGAACTGAGGCTGAGTAGTTGGATAACTTGCCCAAGACCACACAAGTTAATAGCTAAAGGAAGCAGGATTTGAACCTAGCTATGTCCAACTCCAAAGCCTATGTTTGTTTGCTCCACGTTACCCCATGATGGTGGCTGTAGTATTGTCATATAAAAGGACATCACTCTCTTTGTTCATTTACAATCTCATGAGTGAATGACTTCCCTTTTAGTCCATTAAGCCCTAGATAATATTCAAAAATTCACAATTAAGCTGTAAATTGTTCAATTTTCCTTTGTAACAGTAACAGAGAAAGTAATATTTTCGAATAATAGCATATTTAAATATACTCTCAAGTTTAGGATTTGAAAGTATATTTAATATTCAGAGACTCTCAGTATTCAGAGTCCAGAGATGTGTCTCTGTGTCCTTGTAACATGTATTTGGCAATCTAATGGGAAAGACTCGTGTTCAGGGGCCCCAGGCTCAGAAATTAACTCTAGGAGAGGTGGGGGAAGCACACGTTTCCTTAGGAGAAAGGCATGGGGATCACTCTCTCCAGTTATGCACAGACAAAAATTGTATTTAACACTACTTTTGATACATAGAAAATTTATTTTAGGCTAGGGGCGGTGGCTCACGCCTGTAATCCCAGCACTTTGGGAGGCCAAGGCGGGTGGATCACGAGGTCAGGAGTTTGAGACCAGCCTGGCCAACATGCTGAAACCTCATCTCTACTAAAAATACAAAAATTGGCCAGGCGTGGTGGCACACACGTGTAATCCCAGCTACTGGGGAGGCTGAGGCAGGAGAATCACTTGAACCCTGGAGGCAGAGGTTGCAGTGAACCGAGATTGCACCATTGCACTCCAGCTCTGGGCGACAGAGCAAGACTCCATCTCGGAAAAAAAAAAAGAAAATTTTGTTTTAAAATTGATCTATTCTTAGGTGACAATGCTATTTTATTATAGTCAGTAATGTTTGAAGAGCTTTAAAAAAAAGCCTGCAGTAAAAAAAAATTTTTGCTGCAGATATTGATGAATGTTCAGAACAACCCTCAGTGTGTGGGAGCCACACAATCTGCAATAATCACCCAGGAACCTTCCGCTGCGAGTGTGTGGAGGGCTACCAGTTTTCAGATGAGGGAACGTGTGTGGGTAAGTTCTCCAGGTAACTTTTCGAAACAGTATTCACATGGTGTGCATTAGCTCTTATGCAAAAGTTCTGGTCCCAGGTAAAATGAGTCTGGTCAAGTTGGAAGGTGCTGGGAAGAGCAATTTATAAAGATGAATCAGACTTAGCCTCTGCCCTCCAACTATCTGGAGAGTCACAAGTGTAATGAGTAAGCAACATTATTGCCTACACTAGTAATACCATCGCCTCACCTGTTGCCAGCTTTTGCATTACATTTGCCTCTTATAAACTTCTTTTAATCATTTT
Organism: Homo sapiens; assembly: GCF_000001405.40. NCBI lineage: Eukaryota > Metazoa > Chordata > Mammalia > Primates > Hominidae > Homo > Homo sapiens. The sequence continues at coordinate 236,016,864 of NC_000001.11, read as the reverse complement.
CATTATGCTTTTAATAACTATAAGCTATTAGACATGTTTCTTCCAGTAATTAGTAGCCTTGGGGTTCACATTGAGGGAGCACCTTATAGGTACTTTTGGATCATTACCTATCTTAGATTGAATTCTACTTTAGTTACACCTAAAATTCCAACTGGGGTCATTCTATTTATGGATTTTAATTTTACCAACCACGAGCAGCAGCATAATTTCTTAGCCTTATAGAAGTAAGTTGCGGCTATTAATTAGGTTAATTATGCTCTTGCTGAATGATGATTTGGGTGATGATGAGGATGGGTCAGCCACGAACAGCCAGATTGTTTAAATTCTTCCTCTTTTTCCTCCTGCTGCACTTTGACCTGGTCGTTCAAGATTCTTGTTCCCAGGTCTGGAGGGTGCCATGTCAAATGCGCATCTGAACTCAACATGTCTTCCCAATTTAAAACAGATTCCTCTTGTACCATGTCAGCAAACCATCTTCTTGCCTCTTCCTCACTGTTCGCTAAACCCTAGAATGTTTTCTTTTTGCTCTGTCTCAAAGCTTGGGTAAGCCTGCCAAGGTCGTGGGGTGAGGTGGTGTCTTGAGGGTGGGAGGGAACAGGCAGTTCTCATATTTTGAGTGTGACCCAAACATCTGTGAGCTCAGGGAGGCCAGTCCCCTCTGCACAGTTGAGATTTTCACTCTGCTGAAGTTACTTCTTTTTTTTTTTTCCTCAGTAGGGAACATCAGTTTCTGTGTATTTGACCTGATTTCTTTCTCTGCTTTTTGAGGCTAAGCAGATTCAAACGTTTAATTTTAATGGCCATACCATTTACATTACACTTCGGCTCAAGCTTGGGCAGTGGATACTTTATCCCTTGGGTGCTGATGTGCACAGTAACTGAGATCCATCCTGGGACACCTGTGTGGAGCATGGTGACCTGGGTTTCTGGATCCAGTCATTCCTGATGTCCACACTCACTGAAGGGGCAGGCTGGGATGCAAGACAGGTGCTGGGCAAATGTCTGCTTCAGACATTTACTTTTGAGGAAGACAACCTCTCTGGGGCTCAGTTCCTCGTCTGTAAAATGAAGTGATTAGACCGGATCATTGGTTTCCTGTGACCCATGGAGCTCTTGGAGGTGCCTCAGGAGCTGTCAAGGAGGACACAGGCCAGCTGTGGGCAGGCTCTTGTCCTCTCCCCTGAGCTCTAGCCTCCCTTTTTTTTTTTTTTTTTTTTGAGACAGGGTTTTGCTATTGTCACCCAGGCTGGAGTGCAATGGCGCGATCTTGGCTCACTGCAACCTCTGCCTCCTGGGTTCAAGAGATTCTCCTGCCTCAGTCTCCCAAGTAGCTGGAATTACAGGCATGCACCACCACTCCCAGCTAAGTTTTGTATTTTTAGTAGAGACGGGGTTTCACCATGTTGGCCAGGCTGGTCTTGAACTCCTGGCCTCAGGTGATTTGCCTGCCTTGGCCTCCCAAAATGCTGGGATTACAGGTGTAAGCCACCACGCCCGGCCTACATATTTGAGGGAGAACATCTTCACCCCTTTTAATTGGCTCCTTTGAGACTCACTGCGCAGAGAGAAGGCTCACTGTAGAACCAAGTCTGCCTACACGCATTCAAAGAAATAACTCTGGCTTGTCACTGAGTAATTGAGTGGTCATTCCATCTCTCTTGGAATTCCTTGTTGAAACAGTGTTCTAGGTCGGAAGCCTGCACTGGGAAGGTTACCCTGCAGGTCAGAATGGGGCAAGGTGAAGAAATAAATGGGGCAAGGTGTGCTCTGCCAACTGTGAGGGGCTGGGGGCTCAGGCAGGGCCTGTGGACTGACCAGGAGGAATTCTCTTTTCATGAGGATTGGTATCCATTATCGGGGAAGGGATGTTTGTGGACTTCCATCTTTGGCATTTTCTGTAAACTCATAACTCTCTTTTCCACTGGGAACCAACTTTTGCAGTTAATTGAAATGTGCAAAACATGTTTTTGTGAAGGAAAGGTGGGCCTCAGCTTGCCCATAAGTCAGCTTGATGTGAAGATGTAGATACCCCTCTGAATGGACATAGCCCTGTGACACTGGGCTGGCATATGGAGTGTGGTGAACTTGAGGTCCTACTTCTCCTCCCCTAGGCATCTTGGTGCAGGGCATGATGGCATGCATCAGCTCTTCTCTTGAGGGAAGAACAGGGCCCAGGCTTAGGCAAAAAGCTGTAGCAGTTAACTTCCAGTATGCCAAGCACAGAGAGGCCAGTAGATGGGACTGTGATTCTCTTAAGGGTCCTGATGATAGAACTCATGGAAGGAGGGCTGAGGAGGAGGTGAGTGTCACAGAGGCTAGCTGATAATGCCCCATCTTGTGCTGTTGCCTCAAGATGGAAGGCAAAGGTTGAGGTCTACAGGGTGATTTTCAGCTGGTTCAGTTACTCTGGGGTTCCTAAGGCACCATTGCATTTTGCTTCTGATTTTCTAAAAGAACTCAGAGCCAGGACAGAGTCCCATCCTCACAATGTCAGAACACAAATCATTCCCTCCCATCAGGCTTTGTGTAGTTGGATTATCCCAGATGAAGGAGGACTCATGTTTTTCCTCCATGAGTCTTCTTAAGATTGATTTCAGTTTGTCCTACCTTAAGTGCAGACAGACAGAGAAAGAGAGAGAGAGAGTTGAGGGGGTGGGGGGAAGAACATAAGGCAATTTATCTAAGGCCATGTGGTTGACCCATGGTACCTGGTATATACCAAGGCTGCCTACTCCAAAGGCTCACAGTCTTCCAACCATAGCTGTCTCCCTGCCTTAGAAACATTTATTTGTCCTTCCTTGGTGGCAAGTGGGTGACTGACTTGGGCATTTGTAGTGAATGTTCCACCTGTACAGGGTGGGCCAAGGCTGAAGACACCACATGGAAGTCTCAGCTCCTTTCCTCCAAGCAGTCTCAACAGAGTTGCCATCAGAAGTGTGGCATCTGCAGATGTCCCACCCCCATATCCAGATGAAGGGAAAGTTGGGTCCTGGGGACCTGTGATGGGGATCTAGTTTGGAGAGTGGCCTGAGACAGACCCCCAGAGTGAAACTGAGGTCAAGCCAGGTGGAATGACAAACCACGGTGTCAGTCAGCCAAGACCCATCAGAGGCAGAACCCAGGTGGGAGGAAACGGTGAAAGCAGTAGTACCAGCCCAGTGAGGAGTGGGGTGCAGGTGAAGCTGTGGACATGCCTAGAGGTCTAGGGTCCAGGCATGGTCTCTCTTTATAGAGCTGGGAGGGGCATGTGGCCTGCTCAGGGGACTTTCTTCCTAAGACTGTGCATCAACCTTTTGTTCTGAAGCTGTCGTGGACCAGCGCCCCATCAACTACTGTGAAACTGGCCTTCATAACTGCGACATACCCCAGCGGGCCCAGTGTATCTACACAGGAGGCTCCTCCTACACCTGTTCCTGCTTGCCAGGCTTTTCTGGGGATGGCCAAGCCTGCCAAGGTGTGTGGTTGCTCTGATCTTCCCCTGTGTGTAACCTGAGAAAGTTTCCTAGGTGGTACCTGTCATGTGCCAATCACCAACTCACTCCCAAATAGAAGAAAGAATTCTTCTGTCATCTCCACAGAGTAAATGTGTTGCTTTTTATATCTCTCTAGTAGTTTGAACTATGCATTTTCTTTTGGGGGCTATTCTCATTGATGACTGTTTTGTTCTAGGTGACTAGTTCATTCAGGTGACAATTAGACACCTGCTCTCTGCTAGGAACCAGGGATATTTTCTGTCTTTCACAAAGAGACAAACTGTCCTTTTACATGGAGGACATGCATGGAGATTAAAGTCTATCCTTTTATTTAATAAGATGTATTAACATGTAGCCATTCAACTGGCTTGTTCTAACCTTCTCCTTCAAAAAAGCAAAGTTCTCTGATTGAATAAATGACTGCGGAGTCAAAGTATAAATGACTCAATAGAATCCTTCAGACTTGAGCTTCTTGGCTGCCATTGTTCTCTTACAGGTAATTTTAGGTAAGATAGCCCATCAATAGAGTACCCTGAGTTTCTTGGTTTGCACAATTACTTAATATTATACCATAGAGTATTTCTAAAAAGTCCCAACTAAGATAGAATTTCTGAGATACTTTCTCTTTATTACTGAACATGTGAATATTTTCTTTTCACTGAGGGTTTTCTGCCTAGCAGTTAATAATCTGTCAGTAAACACTCAGACAGTTTTGAAGCTCTCATTTATGACAGGAGGGAGAATTTTATAATACAAATAGATCCTATCTTTTCCCCTGTTGTAAGGTTGATGAAAACATTCTTTTCTTTCTTTTTTTTTTTTTTTTTTTTTTTGAGATGGCATTTAGCTCTTGTTGCCCAAGCTGGAGTGCAATGGCACGATCTTGGCTCACTGCAACCTCCACCTCCCGGGTTCAAGCAATTCTCCTGCCTCAGCCTCCAGAATAGCTGGGATTACAGGCACGTGTCACCATGCCCAGCTAATTTTTTATATTTTTAGTAGAAACAGGGTTTCACCGTGTTGGCCAGGCTGGTCTTGAACTCCTGACCTCAGGTGATCTGCCTGCCTCGGCCTCCCAAGGTGCTAGGATTACAGGCGTGAGCCACGGTGCCTGGCCAAAAACATTTTTCATGAAAACATTGCTGCCAAAGTGAAACACATTTGCAAGTACGACAGATAGATATTGGGGAGTTAGTGACTTGATAGTTAATGTTTAGTGAGTTTTGGATTACTGTTCCCAGATCAGAAGCAGGTTCCCATAGATTTGAGTAAGTGGCTTAAATTATTGGGTAAACTACGAATTCCAGAAGAAATCTCATTGTCCCTGGGCCTGGTGGCTGTTTTACAGATGTAGATGAATGCCAGCCAAGCCGATGTCACCCTGACGCCTTCTGCTACAACACTCCAGGCTCTTTCACGTGCCAGTGCAAACCTGGTTATCAGGGAGACGGCTTCCGTTGCGTGCCCGGAGGTAAGGTGGTGGGACATCTGGAGTCGGTAGCCCATTGCCCTGTCCATGAATGCAGAGCACATGGCCCATTGCCCTGTCCATGAATCCAGAGCACATGGCCCGTTGCCCTGTCCATGAATCCAGAGCACATGGCCCGTTGCCCTGTCCATGAATCCAGAGCACATGGCCCATTGCCTGCCCTGTCCATGAATCCAGAGCACATGGCCCTGGGAGAGAAGGTGAGGCGGGAAAGTAGGAGGCTCCATGGAGAGTTCTAAGGGTTGTTGAGGTGGGAGATCAGAGCATGGACTGCAATGTAGAGCATTCTTTGAAATGGTAGAACATCAGGTGGGAACATTGCCTATAATCCCAATACTTTAGGAGGCCGAGGTGGGTGGATCACTTGAGGTCAGGAGTTCGAGATCAGCCTGGCCAACATGGCAAAACCCCCTCTCTACTAAAAATACAAAAATTAGTCAGGCGTAGTGGCTTGTGCCTGTAATCCCAGCTACTACGGAGGCTGAGGCATGAGAATCACTTGAACCTGGGAGGCAGAGGTTGCAGTGAGCTGCAATTGAGCCACTGTAGTCCATCCTGGGTGACAGAGTGGGACTGCCTCAAAAAAAAAAAAAAAAGAAAAAAAAAGAATATATTTGACACCTTAGACTGGAGTTAACCAGTTGTGTTATTTATTTTTAATTACTGCTGCTGTTGTTGGTCAGATATATTCATGCCACTATAAATGTTTTCAATTAGAGATAAGTAAACATTTTCATCCCATCGCTTTTTAAGCAGTTAAAAACTTTAAATAACCATCCCCTTCACTAGCCTGTGAGCACATTGAGGACCTGTGAGCTCATTGAGGACCTGTGAGCTCATTGAGGGTGGTGCAGGTACACTTTTTTTTTTGTATGTTTCCAGTACCCAGTGGAGTGTTTGGTATATGGTGGGGCTCACAGCTATTTACAGCTGTTGAAGAAATAAATGAATGCATCAGCTCCATTCCTACAACAGCATTTGAAAATATTTGTTTATCTTCACTCTCACTAAGACTAGTTTTTAGAGTAGTTGTCTATCAAAAAAGAGAAAATATCAGATTAAGATTTAAATTTTGATGTATAGTAGCATATATCGTTAGTCTAAATTATTTTCTTCTGCTTAAAATGGGGCTTAGCAAACTATGGCCCATGGGCCAAATCTGGCTGTCTGTTTTTGTAAATAAAGTTTTATTGGAACACAGCCATGCTTATGTATAGTCTATGGCTGCTTTCGTGTTACAAAGGCCGAGTTCAGTAGTTGTGACAGAGACTGTAAGCTCTGCACAGCCTAAAAAGCATAAATAGGCTGGGTGCCATGGCTCTCGCCTGTAATCCTAGCATTTTGGGAGATCGAGGTGGACAGATTACTTGAGTCCAGGAGTTTGAGAGACCGGCCTGGGCAACATAGCGAGACCCTGTTTCTACAAAAAATAGAAAAATTAGCTGGGTGTGGTGTGGCACACCTGTAGTCCTAGCTCCTCGGGGGGCTGAGGTAGGAAGATTGAGCCAGGGAGATCAAGGCTGCAGTGAGCCAAGATCACTCTACACCCCATCCTGGGTGACAGAGTGAGATTCTGTCTCAAAAAAAAAAAAAAAAAAAAAAGTATAAATAGCCTACTATGTGGGCTCTTGACAGAAAAAGTTGCTGACTCCTGGCTTCGATAAACCTAGGCAAGGCAACCTTTTGTTCCTGAAATTATGGGAACAAATACCACTACTCATAGATTTTAATAGGCAGGTTACATAGAGAAGAGTTTATGATCATTTGAGTCAACACATTCCAGCTACTATTAACAATGACTAATATTCATTATTTCCTCAGTCTTGCTTCACATCTCCAGTTTAAAGAGAAGCAGATGTTTCCAATTTTGTTTTTTTGTTTTTTTAACCTGACTTTTTGTCCCCTCTTGAAAACTCTGTTGACTAAACAGAAACAGATCCAGGCGTGTAGGCTGGAATCTAAAGATGGGACAAAGTTAAAACCAATAAGGGCTGCTTGCCAGGATTGTTTAGATATTGGATCTTGTTCCCTTAAGAAGTTTAACATTTGGTTATATACTGGAGAGAGTGTTCACTAGAAACGTGTAAGAATGTTCATTGAGTTTTGTTTGTAATAGAAAAAAATATAAATGACTGCAAACAAGAGGAACAAACAGATGACTGTTGGTATAATCCATACAATGAAATGACATAAAACAGTTAAAATGAATGAACTAGAGTTCAGGGGTAAGTCTCAAAAGCGTAATGTTGAGCAAAAGAAATTATAAAAGGATATGTATAGCATGGCCCCATGTGTATAAAACATAAGCCTATGTGAAAATATACCTACATGTGTTATGTTATGTACATACATAAGAAAGCTACAACATGCATAGTGAATGAGAAATGAAAAGTTCAGGGCAGAGGTTACCTCTATAATGGGAGAGAGGGAATTGGGACTGGGGAGGGTTACATGGTGTGTCTTAGTCTGTTTGGGGCTGCTCTGGCAAAATACCATAGACTGGGAGTTTATAAACAACAGAAACTTGTTTCTCATAGTTCTGAAGGCTGGAAAGTCTGAGATCGACGTGCTGAGAAGTTGAGTGTCTGGCGAAGGCTCACTTCCTAGTTCACAGACGGCCAGACATCTTTCTGCAAAGTCCTTATATGGTAGAAAGGGCAAGAGGTCTCTTTGGGGACGCTATTATAAGGGCACCACTAAGGCCATTCATTAGGGCCCCCCTTTCATGACCTAGTCACCTGCTGGTGGCCTCACCCCCAATGCCATCACCTTGGGAGTTAGGATTTCAGTACGTGGATTTGGGAGGGACATAAACATTCACATTGCAGCACAAGAGCTGCGTCTGCGTTTCTAATGTTTTATTTCTCAGTCGGAATATGAATACACATATTTTCATCATATTATTCTAAATTGTATATGACTAAAATACTTTATGAAGACTGGACACAGTGGCTCATGCCTGTAATCCCAGCATTTTGGGAGGCCAAGGTGGGTGGATCACCTGAGGTGGGGAGTTCAAGACCAGCCTGACCAACACGGAGAAACCCCGTCTCTACTAAAAATACAAAATTAGCCAGGTGTGGTGGTGCATGAATGTAATCCCAGCTACTTGGGAGCCTGAAGCAGGAGAATCACTTGAACCTGGGGGGCAGAGGTTGCGGTGATCCGAGATCACGCCGTTGCATTCCAGCCTGGGCAACAAGAGCAAAATCCCGTCTCAAAAAAAAAAAAAAAATTAGCTGGGCGTGGTGGTGCATGCCTGTAATCCCAGTTACTCAGGAGGTTGAGGCAGGAGAATAGCTTGAGCCCAGGAGGCGGAGGTCACAGTAAGCCAAGATTGCACCACTGCACTCCAGCCTGGGTGACAGAGAAAGACTCCATCTCTAAATAATAAATAAATAAATAAATACTTTATGAAACATTACACAGAGAAAAATAATGCATAGTGTCATCTGGTCTCCTGGTGCCTATCATAGTAAAGGACAGGGATCATACAGCACTTATTTGGTACTTACTGTATACAGAAGGGGCTAGTTTCCAAAAGAAAACTAAACTGGCTTTGAAGGTGAGCCAGTGAAGATCATGGCTACTGAAATGTCAACTGATGACAGACAAACTACGAGAAATTGCGATTTGTTCCTCTTTGTCTTCTGCACGCTGCTCCACACCCTGTGTATGGATTGTGAAGTTAGTTTAGTGGCTTGCTGTTCTCACTTTCTTTTAAATGGCATGTTGAAATAGCAAACAATAATCTAGAAAATATCAGAGTGAGGAGAATATATGTAGTAGGAGTAAGTATTGTTTCATGAAGCAATACTTGTATGTATGTTTGTGTATGTGCATGGGTGAGTGCATGCCAGCATGTGTGCGTGTGTGTGTGCACATGTGTATGCGTGTCTAAGTGTGCATGGGCTGGTGTACTGGGATGCTGAGTAAAATCTGTTTCTTTCTATGGGTCATGGTTAGAAGTTAGAAAGCCACCATATTAGTTCTCTATTGTTGCATAACAAATCATCCCCAAAGTTAGCCACTTAAAACAATGAACATTTATTTTCTCACAGTTTCTGTGCGTCAGGAGTTCAGGAGCAGCTTTCCTGGGTGGTCCCTGGACCCAGGGACTCTCATGAGGTTGCTGCTGAGACATTAGTCGGGGCTGTGGTCTTCTGTGATGGCAAAGAAGGATCCCTGCTGAAGGACCCGCATGGTTGTCAGCAGGCCTCAGTTCCTCGCGACATGGGTCTCTCTACAGGGATGGCTAAGTGTCTTCAAGATCTAGCAGCTGGCCCCCTCCACAGCAAGTCAAAGGAGAGAGAGAGAGAGAGAAAGAGAGACTGACCAAGATGGAAGCCACAGTCTTTTATAAACGAATCTTGGAAGTGACAAGTATCGCTTCTGTTGATACCATCAGTCTCGGGCCATCCCTCTTGCAGTGTGACAGGGGTCTGCCCAAGTATGGAAGACCAGGCAGTGGGGAGAATGAGGGCCATCTTGGAGGTCGGCCACCATAGCCACTGACCCTGACCTTGCCTGGACAACATCTGAGGGAATGTAACTGGCTAGGTTTTTGTAACATAGGGGAGTTTATTAGAGGATCAAAGAGAGGCATTAAATGTCTTGGGCTAGAAATGTAAAACCTGGTCCAGGAGTTTAAGAACACCCTGGACAACATAGCAAGACCCCATCTCTATCAAAAAATTTAAAACTTCTAGGCATGGCATTTAAAAATTAGCACACACCTGTAGTTCCAGCTATTCACAAGGCCGAGGCAAGAGCATCACTTGAGCCTGGGAGTTCAAGGCTGCAGTGAGCTATGATCGTGCCCCTGCACTCTAGCCTGGGGTGACAGAGCTAGACCCTTTCTCCAAAAAAATTTAAAAATAATAAACAAAATGAAGCTTTCCCTCAACCCTGCATCCCTCTCTCACTGCCATCCCCTCCCCATCCTTCCCTTTATAGTTTAACTCTTCATCAAGGTTGTCTGGAATTGCTGCCTCCACTTCCTCCTCTCTCATCTTCCATTTTTTTTCCTATCTTTATATTGTAAAAATAAAACATAGATGCAAGCAATATGTAGTTCAAGGAGTTACTCTAAGGTGAGCCTGGTTGTCACTACCACTCAGATCTTGAAGTAGAGCTTTACCAGCAGCCCCAGGAGCCCCACCTGCCCCAATCATAGCCTCCTCTCTCTCCTCAAAAGCAACCACTAACCTGGCATCTGTAGTTGTCTCTTCCTTGCATTTCTAATAGCTTTATCACACTTGAGTGCATTCCTAGTCATTGTAGGTTTGGTGCTGCTCATTTTTCTATCTATAGTTTTCTTCTCCATCCCTTTCCTTTCCTTGCATTTGGTCTGTTGAAGAACCCATGCCTTTAGATCTGTAGTTTCCCACAGTCTGGATCTTGCTGATTGCACACTCATTGTACAGCACTACACACTCCTTTGTCCTCTAAATTGTCTGCAGATTGTCAGATGCTTGATCAGACTTAGGTTCAATCCTTTTGGCAAGACAATAGGTGGTGGTGTGATCTTTCATCGGGAGTGTATGTCTGCTTGTCTCACTTTTTGTGATGTTAGGAGCTATTGATGATTACTGCCTAGACCCATTAATTTCTAGGGAGGGTCAAATGGTGATATTCTAATTTCATCATTACTTTCTCATTTATTCATTGGAATTCATGCTCATTATTACCTGGGTCCACTCATTTCTAATGGGGGGGAGCAAAATGGTGATAGTCTAATTCTATTCACTGCAATGAAATAACAGCTAAAACTGTATTTGTAATTTGGAAGTAGAGAGGTAGCTTTATTCGGTATATGGGTGGAGAAGCAGAGGACAGTCAGTCTCCCAAGAGAAAAATAAAGCAAGTGAGTGACAAGGAGACAGGAGCTCTTAGTTCCTGACAGTTGTCTATTTCTGGTTCCAGTCCCTTTTCTGATTCACATGACATAACTATATTTTCATAATAAATTCTTCCTTTGGGTTTAGGTTAAGTCAGAGTGGTTCCTGTTACTTTAGTTAAAGAACTTTGACAGTGAGGGCACTGTGCACATTTATGATGATATTATTACTATTAGAAAGTGCAGGCTGGATAATTAGCTACTATGCTCTGTACAGAAGTTAGTTGATGTTTATGGATTTTTGTTCATTTTAAAATTCAGATAAGCTATGTTTTTGACCACTTTTCCTTTCTGATGTGTCTTCATTAAAGAATGCCTCCCTAAAATAATATGAATAGATATCTACTACATCAAACAGTAGTTTAAAGAAGTGAAATTTTTATCTAGTGGAAGGGGTAATACTAAAGTAATAATAGCTAACACTTATATAGCACATAATTTTTGCCCAGTATTGTTTTAAAAATAGCAAAATGTAAGGTAAATTAGAAGAAATCTTTTTAGTAAAAGAAATTTTCTGTCAAAGTGTATGGCATATGAATCATTTTGCAATCAGAAAAAACAGACAGTTGGTTCAAATATCTTGAGAGTTGTGTCTTACAAAATTACGATCGTGTGTTATTTATGCTTTCCAAAAGCAGTTGTTTAGGTTCTTGTGTTTAGACTGCCAGTAAATATGCTTTCAGCAGAACAAAACACTCTTGCATCTTCAAAAATAAAAAAAAAAAGCATTGCAATTTGCTTTTGAGATTTCCTGGCTCTCTCCCCACCCCCCGCCTATATCTGGGCCTTCTCTTACCTGGTCTCTGCTTACATTTTTTTGTTTGTTTGCTTTTGTTTTCTTGAGATGGTGTTACCCAGGCTGGAGTGCAGTGGTATGATCTCAGCTCACTGCAACCTCCACCACCCAGGTTCAAACAATTCTCCTGCCTCAGCCTCCCGAGTAGCTGTGACTCAGGCGCACGCCACCATTCCCAGCTAATTTTGTATTTTTAGTAGAGATGGGGTTTCACCGTGTTGGCCAGGCTGGTCTCGAACTCCCAACCTCACTGATTTGCCCACCTCAGCCTCCCAAAGTGTTGGGATTACAGGCGTGAGCCACCGTGCCGGGCTCCATCCTGCTTAAGTTTGATCCCACTCTCAGCACTGTCTTCCCAGTGTGATGCCCTGACAGCCCGGTCAATTTCCTAGGGTCTAGCTCTTCTAGCCCCTTTAGTTTTTAACTTTTTTTTTTTTTTTTTTTTTGAGACAGAGTCTCGCTCTGTTGCCCAGGCTGGAGTGCAGTGGCATGATCTCGGCTCACTGCAAGCTCCGCCTCCCGGGTTCACACCATTCTCCTGCCTTAGCCTCCCGAGTAGCTGGGACTACAGGCGCCCGCCACCACGCCTGGCTAATTTTTTGTATTTTTAGTAGAGACAGGGTTTCACCGTGTTAGCCAGGATGGTCTCTATCTCCTGACCTCCTGATCCACTCGCCTTGGCTTCCCAAAGTGCTGGAATTATAGGCATGAGCCACCGCGCCTGGCTTAGTCTTTAACTTAAAGGAAGAAAAACCCTCCCAGTTTTGCTGCTGTTTTTACATTGGCCTGCAGTGCCTTCTAGAGTGCCTGTTAGCGCTGGGGCTTTCCTGTTCCCACACTGTGAGATGCTCTGCCCCTTTCCTCTGCTGTCTGCCACACAAAGATGACAAGTTGGTGGTGTGTCCCTTCACCCTTCCTTATCACCGTGTTGCTTTGTAAATGCTACCCATGGGCTATGGATTTTGTTACCTAGTTAATCCATCTGGAACTGGACTCTAAAAAGTAAGCTCCTGCATTCTTCCAGAGTCTCTCATTCTCTCTCTAACCACTGCAGTCAGCTTCTTTCCCCACCACAACACCCAAACTGCTCTCGTAAAAGTCAGCAACAACCCTCCCTTTGTTAGATCTGAGGCCTCATTTCTTTTTCTTTTCTTCTTGTTTTTTTTTTTTTTTTTGAGACAGAGTCTCACTCTGTCATTCAGGCTGGAGTGCAGTGGCGCAATCTCTGCTCACTGCAACATCTGCCTCCAGGGTTCAAGCGATTCTTGTGCCTTGGTCTCCTGAGTAGCTGGGATTACAGGTGTGTGCCACCACGCTTGGCTATTGTTGTTGTTGTTTGGGACAGGATCTCACTCTGTTGCCCAGGCTGGAGTGCAGTGGCTGCATCTCAGCTCACTGCAGCCTCCACCTCCCGGGTTCAAGCAATCCTCCCACCTCAGCCTCCTGAGTAGCTGGGATTACAGGTGCTTGCCATCAAGCCAGGCTAATTTTTGTATTTTTAGTAGAGACGGGGTTTCACCATATTTGCCAGGCTTGTCTCGAAATCCTGGCCTCAAGTGATCTGCCCACCTCTGCCTCCCAAAGTTCTGGGATTACAGGTGTGAGCCATCGTGCCTGGCCTGAGGCCTCATTTCTTGATAGCACTTGGCACAATTGGTCTCGCCCTCCTTCCTGAAACACTTTCTTCATTTGGTATCCAGGACAACACACCTCAGGGTTTTCTGCATTTCTGGCTGGTGCACGTCACTGCTGGTACGATTAGCCCCATTGAATGCATGAAGATATGGGGGTTAGAGAGACTAGATAATTTGTCCAAGGCATCCAACTAACTAGTAGCATAGCCAGGACCAATAGTTAAATATTTCTTAAGCATCTCTTGTGTGCCTGTCACTGTGCTTGACACATGAACAGTAAAACGTCTCCACCCTGGAGGAGTCTGCACTGTAACTGGGCAGGAAAAGGGAATACTTGAAATTAGTAGTGAATAACTACCGGTCGTTCACTAGGAGTGACAACTACCAGTCGTTCACTAGGAGTGACAACTACCAGTCGTTCACTAGGAGTGACAACTACCAGTCGTTCACTAGGAGTGACAACTACCAGTCGTTCACTAGGAGTGACAACTACCACTCGTTCACTAGGAGTGATAACCAGTGATAACTAGCAGCAGGAAGCAGAGATGCAGGTGGGCTAAAAAAGCTGGGGAGAGTGAGAGAGGGAGGATTTGCACTCAGCCTTGAAGGACAGGTGAGATTTGAATAGGAGACAGGGAGGAATAATGAGGAGGAGGGGCAGTCAGGCAAATGGGGGAGTTGATGTTGAGGAGGGTCCAAACCAGGCCACCCAAAGGCTTGACAAGCTCCCGGTCTTGATGTCTGTGGCCACGTCTGACCGCCACCTCCTTCCCTTGTGACTCTCACATGGCCTCGTTTCCAAATCCGCGGAGTGATCGCTGAGCCTGTGGTTCCTCCATCCCTTCTTTTTCTTGAAGTCCTCTCTAACCTAACCCCAGGAAGCACAAAGGCAACCGTCCTCACCAATGCTTGGAATTTCTTGACTTCCTATCCGTCTGCACTCTCAGCCTGCAAAGCTCTTGTCTTAAGTCCGTTCAGCCACTGCGCCTAGGCTGCTGTGGCTGGGTGTATTGGACACACCGCAGATTTATCGTCATTTTTTGTTTGTTTGTTTGTTTGTTTGTTTGTTTTTAGACAGAGTCTCGCTCTGTTGCTCAGACTGGAGTGCAGTGGTGCCATCTCGGCTCACTGCAACCTCCGCCTCCCGGGTTCAAGCGATTCTCCTGCCTCAATCTCCCGAGTAGCTGGGATTACAGGCATGTGCCACTGCGCCTGGCTAATTTTTGTGTTTTTAGTAGATACGGGGTTTCACCATGTTAGCCAGGCTGGTCTCAAACTCCTTGCCTCAGGTGATCTGCCTGCCTCATCTTTCCAGAGTGCTGGGATTACAGGCGTGAGCCACCGCGCCCAGCCTGATTTATTGTCTTTAATGTCAGCCAAGCCCTTGACCAAGGCAGGTGTGGTGCTCTTCCTCTCTGTCCCATAGCAGCCTGTCCAGACCACAGCCAGCCGCTTCTCCCACTGTGCCACTGACCAGGGCCCTCATCTTTTGCACTAGCCTGTACAATCAAGGACTCTCCTATTTAGCCCTTGCAGGGCGCCTGGCTGATGGCAGCTTTCACTAAATGCTTATAACACTAGTGAGTAAGTGCTTCACGTGTCCATGGGGCTCTTGACCTGAAGCGTATGATGACTACAGTGATTTTAAAAGCCCTGCTGTGGTAGAATTTTGGGAGAGGAAGGCAGCTGGGAGCCAAGAGCTGCTCCAGGAAACAGGTGTGATGAAACTCAACAATGCAGTTTCACACTGTGACAGAAGAGACTGCACACAGAGGAGGAGTGCAAGCTCTCTTCCATGCTGGTTTACGACCTTTCTGTTTTCCCTTCTTTGTTTGCCTTTTCCTAACTGCGAGTTCAGTGCCCCTCCCTGGCCATTCGTCTTCCTCTCTAGCCCTGTGAGAATGGGGGTAAATGTTGGGAAGGGACATGAAGAGAGTTCATAAGTAAAGAAAGCTGTTATCACCGTTATTGCTGTTGCTATCACTATTATTAGTAGTGTTGTTCTTAGTGGCCCCTAGGAACATGAGGATGAAGACCATGTCAGATGGACATTGCCCCCTTGACTTGTAAATTCTCCTTCTTGGAAATTTGGCAGTCTTGCTTGGACTAACAAGTGTCTATTTGGCAGTGAATGAGATGGGGCTATAAGCCAGCAAAATCTCAAAGCCAGGCTGGGCGTGGTGGCTCAAGCCTGTAATCCCAGCACTTTGGGAGGCCGAGGCGGGTGAATCACGAGGTCAGGAGTTCGAGACCAGCCTGGCCAACATCATGAAACCCCGTCTCTACTAAAAATACAGAAAATTAGCTGGGCGCAGTGGCAGGCGCCTGTAATCCCAGCTACTTGGGAGACTGAGGCAGGAGAATCGCTTGAACCCGGGAGGCAGAGGTTGCGGTAAGCTGAGATTGCACCACTTCACTCCAGGCCGGGCGACAGTGATATTCTGTCTCCAAAAAAAAAAAAAAAAAATCTCAAAGCCAGCAGAGACCAGGGACTGTTCACTGCACCTGAGTGACCTTGTCCAGAGATGTGTGTCCCAGAGGTGCATGCTCAGAACCCGTGTAGGCCCTGGGAGTAGCTGCCTCTGTAGTGGGGCGTGGACTCTGTGCAGGAAGATGCTGAATAAATAGCACCTTCCCAAACAAGTTCCATTCTGAGTAGCCCATGGGTTCTCCCACGGTTGCATGTCGTCTCTTTCCAGAGAGTCTTGACATCTGTGAGCACCTCCCCTCTCTCCACTCTATTGAGTATATGAGAGGCTACAATTGTCATTTATTTGAATGAACACAGAGAAACCAATTTAATCAAGCAAGGGAATGGAATGCAAATCCAAGGTCAAGAATGTACTTTCTTCTTAGTTCTCCTTCTTGTAAACCAAAAAGTATCTGAGACAGGTCTCAATCAATTTAACAATTTATTTTGCCCAAGTTAAGGAGATGCCTGTGACACAGCCTCAGGAGGTCCTGATGTCGTATGCCCAAGGTGGTCAGGCTACAGCTTGGTTTTATAGATCTTAGGGAGACATAAGACATCAATCAATACAGGTAAGATGTATGTTGGTTTGGTCCAGAAAGGTGGGACAACTGGGAGCCAAGTGTAGGAGGGAGAGCTTCCAGGTCATAGGCAGATTCAAAGATTTTCTGATTGTCAATTGGTTGAGTTATTATCTAAAAACCTGGAACCAATAGAAAGGAATGTCTGGGTTATGATAAGGGCTTGTGGAGACCAAGGTTTAGTCATGCAGATGAAGCCTCCAGGTAGGCGGCTTCAGAGAGAACAGATTGTAGATGTTTCTTATCAGACTTAAAGAGTCTGTTCTGCCAGGTTTTGTTGTTGCTGTTGTTGTTGTTGTTGTTTTAATTGAGATAGAGTCTCGCTCTGTCACCCAGGCTGGAGTGCAGTGGCGCAATCTCAGCTCACTGCAACCTCCACTCCCTGGGTTCAAGAGATTCTCGTGCCTCAGCCTCCCAAATAGCTAGGATTACAGGCGCCCATCACCACGCCCAGCTAATTTTTGTATTTTTAGTAGAGATGGGGTCTCACCACATTGGCCAGGCTGGTCTCAAACTCCTGACCTCAAGTGATCCACCCGCCTCAGCCTCCCAAAGCGCTGGGATTACAGGCGAGAGCCACAGGGCCCGGCCTGTTCTTTCAGTCTTAAGGTCCATGTTGATGTTAATGGTAATGAGACGTGGCCAACCCTCCCCTTCCTCTCATGGCCTGAAGTAGTTTCATAGGTTGACTTTGGAATGCCCTCGGCTGAGAGGAGGGGTCCATTCCGATGGTAGGCGGACTTGGAATTTTATTTTTGGTTTACACTCTGTTTCATTTTCCTCTCATTCTCTTTGTCCCCCCACCTTGAGAAAAGTCACCCCAGACTTCCTGCCACTCCTCAGATAAGTATCAGGTCTTGAATGCTTTCTTCCCTAGCAGCTCGAACTAGATGAGTAAGAAGACGCTTGTCTGAGTCATCAATGTATCAACCAGAAACAAGCTCAGGAAATGCGTCTTTAGCATCCCCACTACCCCCACCCCATCCACCAGGCCTTTAATGGAAAGTTTCCCATGGGGGCCAGGGACACTCAGCAGGGGACTCTCCCTAGAGCCCCTGGGCTGCTCCCACTGTCTGCTGGCCCAGAAAGTCCACCGAGATCACAGCTTTTTATAAACTCACTTGAGATTCTATTTCCTGAGTACAGTTGAGGTTCCCCCTCCTTTTTACAAGTTCAAGATACAGTACTTCAAAGTTCCACTGTAAATTCTAGAGCCCTTGAGATTTTCTATGCTGACCAAATACTTTGTTAACACAACTCTGTCGGCCACATAAAATGGAACAACGCTTACTGCATGAAAAGTTTTGTTTGGTTGACAGCACACAGGACACCAGTTTTGTTTTCTAACTGGAAAAGCACCACCACATGCAGATGTGATTGGTAGGAAAATGGGGCTCTGGATGCACAGGTAATTTTGGTGAATGAGCTAAGGTACTGTGTGTACATCGCTGTTGTCGTAACAGGTTCAATGTGAGGGAGCCGTCTAAGCACTGGCAATGTGGACGCCAGATGCCAGACCAGAAGGGCGGGGCTAGACCACAAACCCAGAGACCTAGGTTCTCGTTAGAACTGAGCCACCAACCAGTGCTGTGGCCTGAAGGAGTCTCTGAGCCACCAACCAGTGCTGTGGCCTGAAGGAGTCTCAACTTCTCTGAGTTTCAGTTTTCTCATTTGGTGTAAAAACTGCAGTTGCTTATCACATAGGATTGCAATGAGAATCAAATGAAACATATCTGTGAATGGAAACAGCTTATATGAAAACTCTAAAACCCTATGCCAACGTAAAATTTTGTGGAAGTAAACACGTTTTACATTCAAGAGTGAACAAAACCAGATTTTTTTTTTTTGAGACAGAGTTTTGCTCTTGTCGTCCAGGCTGGAGTGCAATGTCACAATCTTGGCTCACTGCAACCTCTGCCTCCTGGGTTCAAATGATTCTCCAGCCTCAGCCTCCCGAGTAGCTGGGATTACAGGCACCCGCCACCACACCCAGCTAGTTTTTGTACTTTTAGTACAGACGGGGTTTCTCCATGTTGGCCAGGCTGGTCTCAAACTCCTGACCTCAGGTGATCCACCCACCTCGGCCTCCCAAAGTGCTGGGATTACAGGCGTGAACCAACGTGCCCAGCCAGACATTTTTTATTCTAACCAGATGGCTTGCTTGTATCTTTGTTTGGTGCTTCCTACTTCAAATGTTTTGTTTTGTTTTTTATATTAATTAGCCTCTGGGACAAAAGAAAAGCATGCATGGTTTTGTCTTGCTGGGTTCAACAAATACTTTTCTGGCATGCTAACTGCTTCTCACCAAGGGAGCAACCACGTTAAGCAAACCAACATGAGAACTGGCAACACAGACAAAGGTACTTCAAATATTCACTGGCAACACACTTATGGAATGTCACTGTGTCTGCTTTGCGAGGATCCAGTCGCAAATGAACATCTGGGTGCAGAGCTCGAAATGTCTCTGTGTGCCTTGTCTCGTCACCTCCCACTGACTCCTCAAACAGTCCTGTGAGATCTGTTATTACTGCCATCCCTGTTCCACTGCTGCAGGAGGCACAGCTTAATCTGTATCATTGACATGTACAAGGTGACACCAGAAGTAATGGAACTGAGGCCAGGCATGGTGGCTCATACCTGTAATCCCAGCACTTTGGGAGGCCGAGGTGGGTGGATCACCTGAGGTCAGGAGTTCGAGACCAGCCTGGCCAACATAGTGAAACCCCGTCTCTACCAAAAAAATTCAAAATTAGCCAGACATGGTGGTGGGCACCTGTAGTCTCAGCTACTCAGGAGGCTGAGACAGGAGAACTGCTTGAACCCAGGAGGCAGAGGTTGCAGTGAGCTGAGATCAGGCCACTTCACTCCAGCCTGTGCAAGACAGAGTGAGACTCTAATTTAAAAAAAAAAAAAAAAAAAAAGTAATGGAACTGAGAGTCAAAAACATTCCCAGGTGCAAAATTCTGAGAAATATATAATATTCTAGTCTATGTGATTACAGTATATTTTTTATTATTAATTAACATTTTAGTATATATTAATTAATGTACACATGTGTAAACATATATACAAATAAGTACATATTTCCCCTTAACATAACTGGTAATGCCTAGAGCAGGGGTTGGCAACTACAGTCCCCATAGGCCAAATCTGGCCCACTGTTTGTTTTTGTAAATGAAGTTTTATTGGGAAAGCCACACTCATTCATTGAGGTATGAAACATGGTTGCTTTCATGCTACAACCACAGAGTTGCGTAGTCGTAACAGAGACCTCATGGCCCACAAAGCCGAAAATATTTATTCTTCCTCTTAACAGGAGAAGTCAGTTGAGCCCTACCCTAGACCTATTCAACCACAATCTTCTACTCATCAAAAAAAAGCAGAGAGGAGGCCAGGCATGGTGGCTCATGCCTATAGTCCCAGCACTTTGGGAGGCTGAGGCGGGCGGATCACCTGAAGTCAGGAGTTCAAGACCAGCCTGACCAACATGGTGAAACCCCATTTCTACTAAAAATACAAAATTAGCCGGGCATGGTGGCAAGAATCTGTAATCCCGGCTACTCGGGAGGCTGAGGTAGGAGAATCGCTTGAACCCGGGAGGCAGAGTTTGCAGTGAGCCGAGATCGCGCCACTGCACTCCAGCCCAGGCAACAAGAGCAAAACTCCATCTCAGAAAAAAAAGCACAGGAGTCTGAGACAGGAAGATGACTCGAGTCCAGGAGCTGGAGGCCAGCCTGGGCAACATAGCAAGACCCTGCCACTTAAAAAAATACATGAAGTGGCCAGGCTTGGTGGCTCACACCTGTAATCCCAGTACTTTGGGAGGTCAAGATGGATGGATCACTTGAGCTCAGTAGTTCGAGACCAGTCTGGGCAACCTAGTGAGACACCACCTCTACTAAAAATGCAAAAAATTAGCCAAGTGTGGTGACGCATGCCTGTAGATCCACCTACTCAGGAGGCTGAGGTGGGAGGGTTGCTTGAGCTGGGAGGTTAAGGTTGCAGTGAACTGAGATTGCACCACTGCACTCCAGCCTGGGTGACAGAGTGAAATCCTGTCTTAAAAAAAAAATACATGGAGTGAAAATGGACAGAATTAAAAAGAGAAATACAAATTATATATTTTTTAAAAAAGCACCTAGGCATTCCTTGGCTCTCCATGCCTTGTGGACGGTCTCTTCTGTGTAGCTGCTATCTCCCTCTGTCAAGGCAGCCACTCACTGAATTGCAAAGTGTGTGTTCAGCTGTTGGCTTCCCTCCAGACTGTGAGCTCCCTGACAGCAGGTGCTATGGGTTATTCCTGTGTGCATCCCCCAGCACAGTCAAGTAGGTACTTCTTGGTTTTTTGGGTTTTCGTTTTGTTTTTTGGGGGACAGGGTCTTGCTCTGTCACCCAGGCTGGAGTGTAGTGGCCTGAACATGGCTCACTGCAGCCTCAAACTCCTGGGCTCTAGAGATCCTCCTGCCCCACCCTCCCAGGTAGCTGTGACCACAGGTGCATGCCACCACACCCAGCTAAGTTTTTATTTTTTATAGATATAGGTCTTGCTGTGTTGCCCAGTTCTTGAACTCCTGGACTCAAGTGATCCTCCCTCCTTGGTCTCCCAAAGTGCTGGAATTACAGGTGTGAGCCACTGTGCCTGGCCGAGTAGATGCTTCTTGACTAAATGTTAAGGAGATTTTTTCCAGAGAGATAAACAAGGAACAGCTCCTTAGAGTCAGTGAGATACAGGTATGGTGTGGGCAAGCCCAGATCACCCTGAGAGCTCACAGAGGGGATTGGACTCAGCCCTGGGGAGCTGAACAGACTTCCTGAAGGGAGTTAAGTGCCTAAGCTGATTTCTGAAGGATTAACCAGACAGGGAGAAGGACAGTCACAAAAAGAATAGCACGTGGAAAGGCCTGGGAGGGAGAGGCAACAAGACATGGATGAAGTATAGCTCTTAGCAGACAGTGATGTGGAGAATGGGTACCTCCTGCCAGTGTCTGGACATTGCTTTGTGTGGTCGATACTGCAGAGGCTACAACTCTGGACTGGTGACTGAACTCTAACCAGTGTGGAATCCACTACGGCTTGGAAGTTGTTTACTAGCAATTCCACAGCTTTAGAAGTACAGCTGTCCCTCAGTATCCACGGGGCATTGGTTCCTGAAGATACCAATCCACAGGTACTCAAGTCTCTGATATAAAATGGTGTAGTATTTGCATATAACCTATGCACACCCTCCCATGTACTTTAAATCATCTCTAGATCACTTATAATACCTAGTACAATGTGAACGCCATGTAAGAAGTTGTTGTATTGTTTAGGAAATGATGACAAAAAAGAAATCTGTTCATGTTCAGTACAAACACAACTATCCTTTTTATTTTTCCAAATATTTTCAATCTGTAGTTGGTTGAATCCACAAATGTGGAACCCGTGGATATGGAGTGTTCACTGTATTTCCCTGTCTTAAGATCTGAGTTGTACAGTTTAGAGGTCAATTTCCATGCCAAAAAGCAGGACATAAATAAAGGAAAACATACAAATGTTGGTAAACGCACTTGGTGGTATCTGGTGCCTGAAATCTTTGGCCTTGACTTGTCGGTTATCAAGAAGCTTGAGATGCTAGCGTGGCCAACATGGTGAAACCCCGTCTCTACTAAAAATATAAAAATCAGCCAGAGGTGGTGGTGCTTGCCTGTAATCCCAGCTATGCGGGAGCCTAGGGCAGGAGAATCGCTTGAACCTGGGAGGCATAGATTGCAGTGAGTCGAGATCATGCCACTGCACTCCAGCCTGGGCAACAGAGCGAGACTCCGTCTCAAAAAAAAAAAAAAGAAGAAGAAGAAGTTTGAGATGATAAAAATGACACATTTAGAAAAAACAAACAAAAAAATTTTCTTAAAATAAAACCCAGTGATGTTCATCAATGGATAAGCAAAATATGATCTGTCCCTACAATGCAATATTATTCAGCCATGAATATGAAGCAGGTTCTAATACATGCTACCACCTGGATAAAGCTTGACAACATTCTGCTAAGTGAAAGAATTGTTTACTTAAAAATGGTTCACTTGGCAGGGCGCAGTGGCTCATGCCTGTAATCCCAGCACTTTGGGAGGCTGAGGCAGGCGGATCACCTAAGGCCAGGTATTCGAGACCAGCCTGGCTGACATGGTGAAACCCTGTCTCTACTAAAAATACAAAATTACCTGGGCTTGGTGGCGGGTGCCTGTAATCCCAGCTACTCAGGAGGCTGAGGCAGGAGAATCACTTGAACCCGAGAGGCAGAGGTTGCAGTGAGCCGAGATCGTGCCACTGCACTCCAGCCTGGGCAACAGGAGCGAAACGCCATCGCAAAAAAGTAAAAAAAGGTTCACTGTATGTTCTATCAATTTGCTTCATTTCTTTTTGCCTCAATTTTTTAAAAGTGTTTTAAAAGGAACTACCTAGGAGTATAAAGGAGATGTAAATATCATTTTCTTGACAAACCTATTCAATAATAATGATGTTTCTGCATTTTGAATAACTGATGAAACAAAACCCAGTGACACACAGGCAGCCCTCGTGGTTCTGAGCGAGCTGCGGGGACTCCTGCAGCCCCGCCAGGGAGCGCTGACGGATGACGCACCTGACAGCTTTCTTGTTGCCTGTTTCTCTGATAGAGGTGGAGAAAACCCGGTGCCAGCACGAGCGAGAACACATTCTCGGGGCAGCGGGGGCGACAGACCCACAGCGACCCATTCCTCCGGGGCTGTTCGTTCCTGAGTGCGATGCGCACGGGCACTACGCGCCCACCCAGTGCCACGGCAGCACCGGCTACTGCTGGTGCGTGGATCGCGACGGCCGCGAGGTGGAGGGCACCAGGACCAGGCCCGGGATGACGCCCCCGTGTAAGTGGGTGCAGGCCGTGCTTGGGCGTGTGCCTGAGAAGGACCTCGGGGGACCGGAATTGCTGAACACGCTCTTTGCTCTTCTGCTGGACCTAAAGCTTGAACTGTTCCACTGGCTCCAGCCCCACCCGCTCCTGCTGCACCCTTCTTCCCTCTCACTTACCCCGCTCCTCCCCGTGCTTCCTCTCCTCCTCACCCTCTCTGTTCTCTTACCCTCTTCTTTCTCCTTCCCCACCCAACACACACACGTGTAGGGTGTAAATACCCAGTGGGGCCTGCCACAGCGGTACCTGTAATGGTAGCAGAGCGGCTGTGTGTGCTCCAGGCCTCCCAGAAGAACTCTCTGCCAAGGGAGGCGTGGAGGTGGAATGTTCCTGCACTGGGACATGGCAGGGATGGTGGGGACCAACCTGAACCCTTCCCCAGGGCTCTGTGCCCTAGGCAGTAGGGCCTGTTCAGACCGTTGCACCCCTTGCCTCCTTCAGTCGTGCCCTAGGGCCTTTAGTTACTTGGGTTGATTTTCCAATCCAAGGAGCAAACAGCCACAAAGCTTTCTGCATGAGCTGGCTCTAAGACCATCACCGGAGGCAGTGGGAAGCTGCTGTCCTGGGGGCCAGGGGCCCTGTGTGACTCTGGACAGACACTTTCCCCAGCCTCAGCGTCCCCAGTCTCAACCTAAACATGAGGCAAAATAACCCCGAGAGTGATTCCCAGCTCTAAAATTCTCCTTCCGTTGCAAATGTAGAAATTGGTTATTGTCACAAACTACCAAAAGCGAATATAATGAATCTTTGAATCTCCACTCACAATTTAGCTAATAATCATTGATTGATATCCTATCAAATATTTCCCCGAAGCTGCTAAGAAACAGTAAAACAATTACTCAGAAACTTCACTCGTTCACACAGCCAACATTCACTGAGGGGCCAGTGCTGTGGTGGGTGCTAGGATGCCCAGAGGAAAGTCACGGTGCTGGGCCCCCAAGAAGCGGAAAGGACGGTGAATAGACAGGAACAGTGTAGGGAGATGAGCTTTAGGAGAAGCAGACAGCGACCAGGGAGCCGAGGCGGAATCCTGGCTTGCGTGGGGCGGTGGGCTCATGGGTGAGGCTTTCCAGAAGCAGCACCGTGTGAGCCACGTTTCTAAGCCTGAGTATTGGTCATGAGGGCAACGAGGAGCCTGGGATGGGTTTGGAGCAGGCGCCCATGTGAAGCAGGGTTTAGTTTTAGAATATCACTGGCTGTGGGGGTAGAAGCTGAGAGGCAGGCTTGACAGTCCCTGGCGGGGGGAGGTGAAGGCTGTTGCACTACTTACGATGAATCCAGGTGAGAAACGGATGGATTTCAGAGATATGAAAGAGGTTGACCAGATTGGTTTGTGTCACCGATTGGGTGTAATAGGCAAGATAGACAAGAGAAAGTGACCTTGGGGACAACCTTGTCCAGCTCTCACTGTAGAGAGCAGGAGACCAGGCTCTGGAAGATGCATGCCCTGTGCACACAGCGAGTGAGTAGAGGGGCCAGGACAGGGCTCAGGTCTCCAGACACCCAATCAGCCCTCTTAGCCCTCCTTGCTTTGCAGCACAGTTGTGTGTCCCTCCTGGGACATTGTCTCATCAAGTGAATCAAGGAGCCCGGCGAGGGGTTGAGGTCAGGAGATAGGAAGGCAAGCCTGATTCTGAGGGAAAAGGAGCCCCTGGCCATGATTTTGTTCTTGGAAGCCCATAAACGTCATGTTCTTGCTTGTCAGGCCCCAGGCTCTCCCATCCCTGTGGCACTGGGACAGAGTGCACTGTATGGGGCAACTCATTCTGACAGGCTCCTCCAGCATGGAAAAGCTCAATAGTTTGCACTAGAACCTGGCTCCCTGTGGGCAGGGAGTTCAGGGATGCTGTTTTCGCTGTTGTGCTACCGCTGGTGCTGCTGGTGCTGCTCTTATTTGGTTCCTTCCTCTAGCACCAGTGCCTAAAGCAGAGCATGGGTAGCCAAAGCTTTTCTATTAAGAGGGAGGCCGGCCGGGCACAGTGGCTCACACCTGTAATCCCAGCACTTTGGGAGACCTAGGTGGGCAGACCACTTGAGGTCAGGAGTTCGAGACCAGCCTGGCCAACATGGTGAAACCCCATCTCTGCTAAAAATACAAAAATTAACTGGGTATGGTGGTGCATGCCTGTAATCCCAGTTACTCAGGAGGCTGAGGCACAAGAATCTCTTGAACCAGGCAGGCAGAGGTTGCAGTGAGCCAAGATCGCACCATTGCACTCTGGCCTGGGTGACAGAGCAAGACTCCGTCTCAAAAAAAAGAGGGAGGCCAAGCCATTTTTTTTCACGTGACTTTTAATGCTGTGTATTACCTTCTTCATCAGTGCTCTTTGATTGACTGAGGGCTTTCTAATTCTGGTGCTTTCAGCTATAAAATGGGCATTGTGTGGCTGTGGCAGTTTGTGGTGCCATGAAGGTGATGTGACCTGATGTGTGGGTGTGTGTATGTGTGTGCATGCGTGCATGTGTGTGGGGGTGTGTGTGTGTGCATCTGTGTGTTCCTGGTGCACACGGGCCTCCCTCACTGACCCCCTCTGCCATGCAGGTCTGAGTACAGTGGCTCCCCCGATTCACCAAGGACCTGCGGTGCCTACCGCCGTGATCCCCTTGCCTCCTGGGACCCATTTACTCTTTGCCCAGACTGGGAAGATTGAGCGCCTGCCCCTGGAGGGAAATACCATGAGGAAGACAGAAGCAAAGGCGTTCCTTCATGTCCCGGTGAGTGCTGGCTGATTATACCTGGTGACAGCTCCTGCTTCAGTGACCTGGAAAAACAAGCAGGACGATATCAGACCAGAACCCCAGGCTCAACCCCTGGAACCATGGGTGCTCATTCCATGTAGTCCTGGGTGACCATCTCTAGATGGGGCCACTGTATTGCTGAGCTGCTCGTGATCTTTCCATTCCCCTGCCAAATTCATAGTGATTCATCTTTCAGCAGCTGCTCAATTTAAGAGCCTCATATCTGCTCTGACGTAGCAACAAGCATTGGAGTTTTTAGAGGCTTTCAAAGCTTCAGAGATGCATTTTGTGATTTAGGGACTTCTTTTCCCATTAGATAGAGGTTGGGCAATTCAGAAAAGCCATTCGGTTTTATCTGATCCTGACCCCTGCCAAGAAACCAAACCTGAGACCTGCAGGCTTCCACTACAAGGCTGAGTCAGAATTGCTGGAGCAGTGGGAGGGGCTGTGAGGGTCCTATGAGGAGTGAAGGAGAGGGGAGGGTCTGAGATCATTGGCTCTTGTAAAAGAAAGTCTGGCAGAAAGCCCTATCATTCCTCACTGGAGGCACAAAGTCTACTTGAAGATTCTTGGTAAAGATGCTACTTGGGCCATCTTGCCTGCCACAGGACCAACCTCCAGCTTTTCTTCTCTTCCTCCTTTCTCTACCCATTGTGTTTTCTTCTTTTTCTATTTACTCTTCCTGAATTGATCTCCACTTCATAGATGCCACACACAGCCACATCCCTTCTTTGGGACCAGGGAGGAAACATCAGCAAAAAAGTATCCAAAATAAAAATACTTTTCAAAAGCCTCTTGCAAAGAAGTCTTTATGAGATTCATGTCCTTTTCCTGCACAAAGCTCTCAAATGGGTTGCCTCTTCACTCAGAATAAAATCCAGTCCTTTTTATGGCCCTCAAAGCCCTATAGGATCTGGCCTCTGGCTCCCTCTCCCACCCTGTTCCCTACCACTCTCACCTCACTTACCAACTTCAACCCTCTGGCCCTCTGGCTGGTCCTGGAACACACCAGGCACATTTCTGTCTCAGGGCCTTTGCACTTGCAGTTCCCCCTGCCTGACAATTGCACAGTTCACTGCCTCACTTCATGCAAATTTCTGCCAAAACATCATCTCTCAGAGAGGCCTGTCCTGATCCCCCTGTCCAGACAGCAGCCACCACTGCTCTCTAGCTCTTTATGCTGCTTTGTATTTCATCAGCGCTCTTGGCACTATGTGATGCATTAAATACCCATATTTGTGTTGTGTATCTGACATGTATCTTCCTATTAAAATATCAGCACCACAAGACAGGAACTGTTCATTTGTTTCATGGAGGTATTGGTTTCATGTGGTATTTCTAGACCCAAAACTGCTTGGCATATAGGAAGCACTCAAAAAAATATTTGCTGAACAAATGCATGCATGATCATTGTATTCATCTATTGCCTTGCTGAAAATGTAAACCTTGAAGATCATCTGTGTCATTTCCATCTCCAGCACATGCTCTCAGGTAATAGGAATGGGTTAAATTCCCTGTGAAAGACATTCTTTCCCAAGACCAAGGGGAGAGGCTAAATGTCATGTGAGGCAATAAAAAGCAGATAATTTACAGCCTGGGCAACATGGAGAAACCCCATCTCTACTAAAAATACAAAAATTATCTGCACATGGTGGTGCGTTCCTGTAATCCCAGCTACTTGGGAGCCTGAGGCACAAGAATTGCTTGAACCTGGGAGGCAGAGGTTGCAGTGAGCTGAGATCCTGGGCAACAGAATGAGACTCTTGTCTCAAAAAAAAAAAAAAAAAAAAAAGCAGATAATTTAAGTGGGCTAGGTGGTGGAAGGGGGAATGCTGAAACAACGGGATAAACATTCACCATCTTTTAAAAACCTGTTGAAAGTGGTATTAAGAATATAAACAATGTTATGCAACTATCACCTCCATTCATCTCCAGAACTTTTTCATCATCCCAAACTGAAGCTATTAAACAATACCTCCCCATTCTCCCTCCACCCATGTCCTAGCCCCTGGCAGCCACGATTCTACTTACTGCCCTTATACTTTTGACTTTTCTAGGTACCTCCTAGAAGCAGAATCATACAGTATTTGTCATTCGTGTCTGGCATATTTCACTTAGCATAATGTCCTCAGGTTCATCCACATTGTAGCATGTGTCATAATTTCCTTCTTTCTTAAGGCTGAAATCCCATTGTACGGATCTGCCGTATTTTGTGTATTTATTCATCTATCAGCAGTTGCTTCCACCTTCTGGCTTTTGCAAATAATGCTGCTATGAACATGGGTATACAAATATCTGTTCGAGTCCCTGCTTTAACTTCTTTTCGATACATATACCAAAGTGGAATTGCTGGATCATACAGTAATTCTATATTTAATTTTTTGAGGAACAACCATACTGTTTTCCACAGTGGTTGTACCATTTTACCTACTCACCAGCAGAGCACAGGGGTTTAAACTCCTCCATATCCTTACCAAAACTTGTTGGCTGTTTTTGTTTTTTAATGATAGCCATTGTAACGGGTGTGAAGTGGTTTTGATTTGCATTTTCCTAATAATTTATGACACTGAACATCTTTTCACGTACTTATTGGCCGCTTGTATATCTTCTTTGGAGAAATGTCTACTTAAATCCTTTTGCCTATTTTTTGATCAGTTCTTTTGTTGTTGTTGAGTTGTGGGAATTCTTTATATATTCTGGATATTAACTCTTTAAAAGATACATGATTCGCAATATTTTCTCCCATTCCATGGGTTGTCTTTTCACTCTCTTGATTGTGTCCTATGATGCACAGACATTTTTAATTTTGATGTAGTCCAATTTACCTTTTTTTTTCTTTTGTTGCCTGTGCTTTTGGTATCATATCCAAGAAATTGTCGCCAAATCCAATGTCATGAGGCTTTCTCCCTGGTTTTCTTCTAAGAGTTTGATAAGTTTGCTCTTACATTTAGGTCTTTGATTCATTTGAGTTAATTTTTGTATGTGGTGTGAGGTAAGGGTCACTGTCCTTTTTGACTTGACCCCTTGAGGAGGAAGTATGTGCTCATCCTCCTGATTTTCCCAGTAAAAGATCATCCTGGTCCACCACTTCCTTGGTCCTGAGACCCTCCCTCCTGAGACCTTCCCTGGCTTCGTAATGCCTAGTACTGTGTCCACGACCAAGAACCCACTCCCAGGGTTTCTTGTACCTGAACAATTCAGTGTTTCAATAGTTTCCAGGCTATTGACAGAATCTAACCTCACCACATGCTGAGATCATACAGCCCGGCAGCTTCTTCCTGAGCCTCTCATGGGCAGCATCTAAAGAAAGGAACTCCTCACTGTCTGATCAAGGGAAAAGTTTGTGCTTCTGTTTTGTTTTTAAGTTTTTATTTTGAAGTAATCAGAGCCACAGGAAGTTGGAAAGGTATACAGAGAGGTCCTGTGTACCTTTCACCTGGTTTCTCCCAATGGCTAAATTTTACATAAGTATGAATTCCTATAGTTTTAAAATATTTTAATTTGCAAAAGATCTCGACAAGGCTTTGCCAAATCAACCTATGGGCAGATGGCTTGTTTTGAGGTGGTTGCTTTAGAGAAGTTAAGCAACTCAGTGTTCTTTCTAGGTTGGAGTTTTGTCTATGTATCACCATAGTTCGTCATACATAATGAGCACCTAATAAATACTCATTAATGAGTTACTGGCAGGTAATTGATTTGCCTTGTCTGAGGAGAGGCTGGCTTACTCAGAGCTAACTCTCAGTGGCTTTTCAAACCAAACAATAGCCCAGTAGATTTTCATGAAACTCAAATCACATGTAAAATGTTACTCAACTTTGCTTCCTCTGGTCCTTTTCTGTCTCACTTTTGTAAGAACTAATGTGTGGAAAAGGACTCTGGGCGTGTTTGCTGAAGGAAATGTTTTCTTTCCTTAAAGCCATGGAGGGCCAGAGAAGTTGATGAGCATGTTTGCTGAAGGAAATGTTCTCTTTCCTTAATACCACGGAAGGCCAGAGAAGTTGATAGGCATGGGATGCCGTGAAGGAGGTACCCACAGTTGAGGCCTGAGCATTTGGTTGTGATGGTTTAAGAGAGTGAATATCTTAAAAGTGCACAGCCTTGTCTGGGCGCACTGGCTTACGTCTGTAATCTCAGGACTTTGGGAGGCCCAGGCGGCTGGATCAGTTGAGCTCAGGAGTTCGAGACCAGCCTGGGCAACATAGTGAGACGCTGTCTCTACAAAAAAATAGAAAAATTAACTAGGTGTGCTGGCACATGTCTGTAGTCCCAGCTACAATTTAAATGTAAATTGTTTACATTTAACCTTATTTATCCCTTCATTTATTTGGGTCTTTTATAGTTTCATGCTGCAATGTTTTATAGTATTCATTGTGGAATCCTGCATATTTAAAAATGTTTATCCTTATATATTTTCTGGTTTTTTTTTTTGATGCTGTCACAATTATTAAGGTTTATTTTCTATATTTTGCTAGTATATAGAAAAATAATTTTATATTGACTTTGTATCTTGCATCCTTGCTAGATTCACTTTTGATTATAGCAGTTTTATAGATTCCCCATGACTTTCTACATAAATAACCATATTATCTTAGAATAGAGTAATTTTACTTCTTCAATATGTATGCCTTTTATTTCTTTTTCTTTATCACCTTCAAGTAGGCAAAGATTTCTTAGTATTCAAAAAGCATTAGCCATAAAGGGAAAAAATAATAAATTAGACTTACTAAACATCAAAAACTTTTGCTCTTCCAAACACTATTAAGAAAATGAAAGAGCAAACTACATACTGAGAAGAAATAATGGGTGGGTGCAGTGGCTGGTGCTGGTAATCCCAGCACTTTGGGAGGCTGAGTCAGATGGCTTGCTTGAGCCAGGAGTTTAAGACCAGAGTGGGCAAGACAGTGAGACTCTGTTGCCACAAAAAATTTTAAGAAATGAGCTAGGCATGGTGGCACATGCCTGTAGTCCCAGCTACTTGAGAGTCTGAGGGCGAGGATCACTCGAGTTCAGGAGGTTGAGGCTGCAGTGAGCAGTAATCACGCCACTACACTCCAGCCTGGGCAACAGAGACCCTGTCTCAAAAAATACATATTTATGCATATATATACACACACACACACACACACACACACACACAAATTCCTATACATATAGATGTGCATATATGTGTATATGACAGGAGTTTTTTCTGAAATATACGAACAACTCCTACAACTCAATAATAAAAATTTTTAAATGAACAAAACACTTGACACTTCATTACAAAAGATATCCAAATGCCTGTAGGCACGCAAAAAGATTCTCACTATCAGATGCTTGTAGATGGACCATTCTAACCACTGGTCTTCACATCCAGGCTAAAGTCATCATTGGACTGGCCTTTGACTGCGTGGACAAGATGGTTTACTGGACGGACATCACTGAGCCTTCCATTGGGAGAGCTAGTCTACATGGTGGAGAGCCAACCACCATCATTAGACAAGGTAAGTAAGCAAATATCATTTTTCCTTTTTGGTTTTGCTTCTAGCAGCCAAAGTGGCCATGTATGCCAGAGAAGAACAGCAAATGAAGCCAAACTTTCACAAACATTTCTCAGTCTTTTGTTGCATTACTACGATAAAGTGTGTAAAGTTTAGGCACGTTCTACTTTTTTTTTTCTTTTTTTTTTTGAGACAGAGTCTCACTCTGTCACCCAGGCTGGAGTGCAGTGGCGTGATCTTGGCTCACTGCAAGCTCTGCCTCCTGGGTTCACGCCATTCTCCTGCCTCAGCCTCTCGAGTAGCTGGGACTAAAGTCGCCCGCCACCATGCCTGGCTAATTTTTTGTATTTTTTTTTAGTAGAGACAGGGTTTCACCGTGTTAGCCAGAATGGTCTCTATCTCCTGACCTCGTGATCCGCCCACCTCGGCCTCCCAAAGTGCTGGGATTACAGGTGTGAGCCACGGCGCCCGGCAGGCACAATCTACTTTTCAGTGTTCAACCTCAATTCCTCAATTGAGGAAATTCCTCATTAAGGATGCCAATTTCAACCAATGACTCTGTGCTTTGTTTTTCATGCCTACCTTCAACAAATCAAGACTGTTTTACATGGGTATGATTTATCTAGTTGAAAGACCATTACAACAAAAATCCAAAGGCCTCTAAAAATTCCACTGTGCTGAAATGGTCAAGTATTACATGTTGCTTAATTCAGCGACTCATCAACTGACTTGGGAATATTTTTGCTCCTATGGCATTGTCATGCTGATGATATTTGTTCTGTGGAGTCACCTTGCGTTCTCTGCAAAATATTCACATCAAAGATACATCTTTAAAATAGAGCAGCCTCATTTTGTATTTCTTTTTACTTGGCACTGAATGTAGTTTTTTCTATTTTCAATGGAATGTTTCCCTCACAATTGATATTCTAGAAGATTTCCTGTGCCTGTGGAACAACTCCCGAAGCATTTTTTCCCTTCTTTGTTGCCTTCAGTAAAGATGATGCGGCAGGAATGAAGCTGAGGTTGAATTAACTATGTCTGGCTTTGGACATAGACCCTGAACCCTTTTCTGGAAGCCAACAGGCTATTTAAATCATGTCTTCCAGTTTTCATGCTTTGGTTTAGTGAAAAACAGTTTGAAAATGCCTATCTCCGTGTGTTAAAAATGTTATTGTTATTATCTATGATTTCATTTTAAAACCCAGTGGAAGAGGGGAATAGGTCATTGTTTGCTATTTCCTGTTGCTTTTGGAGCTCATAACCATCCAAGAACGCTGTAAGCACAGTAAGAAGCATTCCAAGCAAAAGCCTAGTTACTGTGAAAACACAGAATTAAACCAAAATGTGATCTTTGTAGAAGAAAGATCACTGGGAATAATTTTCTTTTTTTTTTTTTTAAGAGAGAAAGAAGCTTCCAGTTATCTCCTTAGCATGGTACAGGTTGGTGCTTCCCTAGTGAGTGAGAGTGACAGTTAGGTATCATTTTCATTTCTTCCTTATTTCATAACAGCCCGGATCCCAGGCTTTCTTTCTTTCCTTGAGTTACAGACCCAACCAAGTATCTCTAAAAAGTATCATATCTTTGAGGTAAGCAGTAAGGAATACTTCTTCCTCGGACTGCACATTGAAGGATAAGATTATCCAGACCTTTCCCTTGGAAGAGTAGCTCATAAAGAAGTATTTTGAGTTGAGGGAGAGGGGGTTGGTTGCTCTTGGGTTTGAGATCGGGACCAAGGCTGGTTCTAAGGAGACAATATGCACGGAGCTCATGGAGCTTCCTCCAGGTGCCTCGCAAAGATGCTCTCACAGAGCAGCCTATATTCTCTGTTTTATTTGCGTATATCTGAGTGGCTCTTGTCTCTCACACAGGATGTGCTCATTCCAAATATACTCCAGAATGACTTATTCTGTTTCTATCTGAAAGCCAGAAGGGACCTTTGGAGGTCAGTCTCACTGTCCCTGTTCATCTAGGGACATGGGAAATATTTTAATATTTTAAAAATCTCTACTTTGTGTTTAGATAATAAAGATCTTGTTCAAGTGGGGTTTCTAATTCTCAATAAACTTCCTCTGGCGGGCTTTCTTTCTGGGGGCTCTGATGTGTCCAGCATCCAAGGTCACCATCATATTAGGGCTCTGGCGAAGGCTAATGCAAAGGGGGCTGAGGGTCTGCACTGCTTGTATGTCCACAGAAGAACACAGTATTGGAGCCAGGTGTGGTGGCTCATGCCTGTAATCCCAACACTTTGGGAGGCCAAGGCGGGGGATCACTTGAGGTCAGGAGTTTGAGACCAGCCTGGCCAACATGGTGAAACCCTGTCTCTACTAAAAATACAAAAATTAGCCGGGCATGGTGGCACGCACCTGTAATCCCAGCTACTCGGGAGGCTGAGGCAAAAGAATCATTTGAACTCAGGAGGTGGAGGTTTGCAGTGAGCTGAGATGGCACCACTGCACTCCAGCCTGAGCAACAGAATGAGACTCTGTCAAAAACAAAACAAAACAAAAAAACCCACAGTATTGGAATGGTTGCCTCATACCCCAGATCCCTCAGGTAGGGTAGCCCCTTCTCCTTCCTGCTTATACTCCAGTCATACTAAATGACCTTCATTCCTTTAATCAGTAGAAGGGAAAGAGTCCTAAGTGATATCAATAAAACACAATCGTTATTATTAATTTAAAAAAACTATATAATAAAACACCAATGTAATCTTCAGCTTCCAGTAAAGTTAGATGGGTGCTGAGGGTTTGCAGTGAAGGTTCATGTTACCCAGTGGCAACTCCTGGCTTGAAAATCAGTTGCTATAACCCAGTAAAGACTGGGGTGTTATTTGTAATCACTGACACCCCTTCTTTGTACCCCTTATACTTGTATGAAAGTAATAGCAGCTATGGTTTCTTGAAAGTATTATTTCAATGACCTTTATCCCCGATAGCTAATGAACAAGATAGAACTATTTTTCCATTCCCTATCTTAAGATCTTCCACTGCCTCCCCTCTGCCTAAGTTCTAAGTTCATTAACATGGCCTCCTACCTTCATCTCTGACCACTCCCCCACCCTCATAGTCTCCAGCCACATACAATGACATCCTGTTCACTTTAAGCCACCATCCAGCCTTCCTTTATACCTATGTGCCAGTCTCGCTACCTAAAAAGCCCTCATCCAGGATCCTTGTTTGACAAACTGCTATTGGTCCTTCAGGTGCCAGCTTCAAGCAATGTCACCTCCCCCAGGAACCCCTCCCTGTTCTCCCCAGGCTGGGGTTCCTCCTCCAGGCTCCCATAGGACCTGGAACTCAGTCTCAACTGTGGTTGGCTGTGGGCTCATGGAAAACTGGGCCTCGGCTTAGTCATTGTTACTGTCCTGGTTCCCAACGTGCAGCATGATGGATACCCACAGAGTGAGTAAATGGCATTTTTGAATTTGTCACTTTGAGTGTTGTTTATCTTATAAACAACAAGCATTTCACATTCCCATTTGGTTTCTTAAAGTGCAGGGATTGGACACCATGTGAAATAACATTGAGTATTCAGAAAAACCTCATCTCAGCTGCTTAGAAAACAAAAAAAATTAGAGGAGCTCTGTGTTTACTTCTAGATCTTGGAAGTCCAGAAGGTATCGCTGTTGATCACCTTGGCCGCAACATCTTCTGGACAGACTCTAACCTGGATCGAATAGAAGTGGCGAAGCTGGACGGCACGCAGCGCCGGGTGCTCTTTGAGACTGACTTGGTGAATCCCAGAGGCATTGTAACGGATTCCGTGAGAGGGTATCTTTGTGTAAATATGTGTGTGCATCTCTTTGATTTGCATCTGCCCTTTTAGAGATTCTCAGATGTGAGGCTTTAACTCCAGCATTGGTCTCCTGAAATTAATGAGTACGGGACGAAAGAGTCTACAGTTTTGGTGACTTGTAGATATCCACGGTACAATGCCAGAACATGTATTACAGTGTGGACTTGATACCATGTCCCACTTTCAAATCTTTTGCCAGGAGACTTTACAAGTTGGCATGCTCAGAAATTGGATATTTTCCATATGGCTTCAATGTGGATCAACACTCAGGTTATATCAACTCCAGAAGAGTAGCAGGGCGGCATAAATGGACTGCTGAGGCTGCTTTCAGGGGCAGACCCAGACTGAACACCCTGGAGATCCCTTCCTGTGTGTTTCTTCGGCACATCCATGCTTTCTCTTCCTTCTTACTGCAAGCTCTACCTCTTACACAACAGGCTCTTAGTTCCTCGACACTGATTCCTTCCCTTTGAGACCACATCTCCTATTCTGTGGCCACTCAGCCTCCTCCTTGAAGGCAGGTACTTTGACCACAGCCCCTGCCAACATCTGCTTCTTGTCCTAGTCTGGTCCCCTGGGTCTGCTGTGCTCTCCTCCATGTGGGCCTCATGCAGGGAATTCCATATATTTATGCCAGTTATAGCCCTTTACTTTGTTTTCTTTTGCTAACAGCTTCATTGAGATATTATATGTCAGTTATGTTAAAGGGAACCAAATTTGTTAGTAACAGAATCACCAAACTCAAATGAGGAACCAAATTCAAGTATCTTTGCAAAAGAAAATGTGTTTTATCACCTCTCGATCCTTTCAGTCATTCTGTTTTCATGTCTGCCAATCACTTCATTGTAATTCTTTTCAAGTGTTTTTCATAAACTTTTTCTCATGCATCCTTATTATTTCTTTTCCTCTTTCCCCCCTTTTTCCTCCTCCAGGAACCTTTACTGGACAGACTGGAACAGAGATAACCCCAAGATTGAAACTTCCTACATGGACGGCACGAACCGGAGGATCCTTGTGCAGGATGACCTGGGCTTGCCCAATGGACTGACCTTCGATGCGTTCTCATCTCAGCTCTGCTGGGTGGATGCAGGTGATGGAAAGCTGGACACTGTCCAGGGCGGGTCTCAATCTCCTAAGTCAGGGGTGGGCAAACTAGGGCCCTGGGGTCAAATCTAACCAGCCACCTGTTTTTATATAACCCAGAAGCTATGAATGGTTTTTACGGTTTTATCTGGTACATTAAATATATACTGGTACAAAATTGTATAGATACCTGCATACTGTCCTTGGTTTTGCCTCCTGGCCTGCAAAACCTGAAATAATTTACTATCTGGTGCTTTAAGAAAAAGTTGGCCACCCTCGTGTTGTAAGTGGCACTGCACAGAGCCTGGAGTCACCCTGATACCGATAAGCAATTCACAACTTACATTAGTCTGCCCTGGCTCGTGCCTCCCCAGCAGAAGCAACACGGGAGGAAGAGACAACTTGCCAGTTTTTAAGAGCAAGCCTCATGTGTTCTCTGGGACTTGTCATTGTAATGCTTAATTTCTCCCACTCTTGCCCTCATTACTCTTGTTTTTTTTGCACAAAGGGGCCATTTCTTGTGTGAACAATGAATGAATTGTTTCCACTCCACACAGGCACCAATCGGGCGGAATGCCTGAACCCCAGTCAGCCCAGCAGACGCAAGGCTCTCGAAGGGCTCCAGTATCCTTTTGCTGTGACGAGCTACGGGAAGAATCTGTATTTCACAGACTGGAAGATGTACGTCAGCTGTAGCCATGGGGGCTGCGTGGGCCTGCCCCTCCACCCACTGTCTCTGGGAGGCCAGGCCCTTCCCATCTGGCCTCTTGGCTTGACTTTTGAGCCTCCAGAAATGCCCCCTCTAGAGATGTCCCCTCTCCCTTATCCTTCTGGTTGTCAGGAGCCAAGAGAGGAGCATGAAGAAGGAGGGAGGACAAGGCCCTAGGGGACAGGAGGTGCCATTTATCATCCAGATGCTCCTGACTGTGTGGTTTCAAGTCTTTAAACCTGGACTTCCTCAGCACGTCTGTTCTTTCCCCAGGAGTTGGCCCAGGGTCACGTGGCCGGTGGGCTCCATGTCCACTTCATGTCCCTGCTTCATTATAGTTGTTAAACTGCAATATTCCCACGGCCTCTTCCTGACTACCCCTTCCTGCAAAAGGAGGGATTAAACTGAGAAGACAACTGGCCAGGGGCATCTGTCTAGAAAGCTCATTTCCTGCCTGGGATCTAGAGTGGGAGGGGAGAGCTAACTGGTCTTTACCCTTTTGTAAAAAGCCAGAGAAATGCAGGCTTGACCCACCCCAGGGGAAGGAAGGGATGTCTAGGAAGAAGGCCATCATGTCTGTTTATGGCCTCCAGTTTATCCTCAAAATGACAAAGAGGCTGCCTTGTTTAGATACAAGTTCAAGCCATCAGATGTGTTTTCACCTTCTGCCCTTTGGTGCTTTGTAGGAATTCCGTGGTTGCTCTCGATCTTGCAATTTCCAAGGAGACGGATGCTTTCCAACCCCACAAGCAGACCCGGCTGTATGGCATCACCACGGCCCTGTCTCAGTGTCCGCAAGGTAACTCTCCTGTGCTGTTACTGTTGGCATACTGGGGGCACATGGAGGCTCAGAGCCCACACTCTGGCTGCTACCCGTATGGCCACTAGTAGCCTTGATTATGCCGTAAGAGAGATCCAGTCCTTTGCATCCAGGGTCTTCATTAGCAGGTGAACCAGTTAAATAAACAGAAAATATTAGGTCATGAAGTTGTCAGGATGAGGAAAAGCATTGAGTTTTGGGCTGGATATAAAAGCATAGGGTCTTCAGGTTCCAAATAGTCAGGTTAGGATATTACAATGTTAGGATCTCTGCTCCTTTAAAAGTCCATCCATCTGGCCTAACAGCAATAACAATAATTAATAATAAGAATTGAAAACATATGTGTGGCACTTACTGTGAGCTATGAACTTTACATATATCAACTCACTTAGAGTTCTAAATACTTTGTATTTGTTAGTTCATGTAATCCTCATAGCAACCCTGTGAGGTAGGTACTATTATTATGTTCATTTCATAAATAAGCAAACTGAAGCAACTTGCTCCAAGTCACACAGCTCACAGGGGCAAGTCCAGGCAGCCTGGCCCTGGAGTCTATGCTATGCTGCCTCTTGAAGGCCTCTCCCCTCACCCACTTTCCTTCTCAGCTTCCCTCATCTTCTTCTGTCAGTGTGAAGCTAGGAGTGCAAGCTACATAAAAAGAACTTTGCACTTTAAAATTCCAATTCTATGTTATAATCAGAGCTGGAGAACTTCCCCCTGAGATCTGTTTAATAGCCTTAGTAGAAAATCTGCATAACCCCCAAGTTGGGAATCAGTGTTTGTGTCTGGTTTAATGCTGATAAAACAAACAATGGATCAGCTCAGCTGACTGCCTAGCACAGTGTCCCCATTCTCCTGAAGCCTTCCTAGCATGGCTTCAAGGAAACTAAAAGGGGGATCACACACAAGAAGGAGCCCACTATCTTAAATGGCTATGGAGTCAGATCAGAGAGAGGGCTATTGAACTGATTTCTGCCTTTTCCAGGCCATAACTACTGCTCAGTGAACAATGGCGGCTGCACCCACCTATGCTTGGCCACCCCAGGGAGCAGGACCTGCCGTTGCCCTGACAACACCTTGGGAGTTGACTGTATCGAACAGAAATGAAGACAAGAGTGCCTTATTTCCTTTCCAAGTATTTCACAGCAACACTCTACTTGAAGCAACTTGGTCCAGATTGAAAAGTGTCCTCTGGCTGAGTGGCCACTAGGCCCAGACCCAGCCCAGCCTGAGCCCCAACAACTTTTCCCTCACTGTTCCCCAAAACATGCACCCTGGACTTCTCTAATAGAAAAGTCTCCACCCCTACACAAGGACAGAACCCTCCACCCCTACCCCCAACCCTCAGACAGACTTATACACCCCTGAGTGAGGATTACATGCCCATCCCAGTGTCCTAGGACCTTTTCCCAATACTAGCCCCCCAGTGGTGAACAGAACCTCCCAAATTTGAGTTGCACCCTTCCCTGTGGCCTTATGAGCTCAGCCTCGCTTTGAGGTACCCACCGTCCTGTCAGCTCCTTGACCTATGAGCCGGGGCCTGACTAGGAAAAGTTGGGAGTTAAGGAGGAAATTAGCATTCCTTAATGTTTTGTTTTGGTGCTCTGAATTTCTTCTTTATTATAGTCCTATAGTTTTACTCCTCAGTTCCTCACCATCATCATCTTGTCTAAGACCCCCATTATAATATTCATGCGCTGCTTTTTCATCAAAACCTACCCTGTCCTAGAGATCTATGGGCATTTGGTGGATGATAATGAGCAGCCCCTCCCAGATAGAATGTCAATATTTGAGCAGTAGGATATTGGCATTTGTTAGTTAAAGGCTTAAATCAAAAGAATGTCCAATGGTAGGAATTTCAAGGTGTAGGTCAGATATTTGAGAATAGGGGATTTTTTTGATGTGCCTTAAATTATACCAAAGATTACTAATTATTCCTCTTTGCCCAAAATACTTGCATCCAAGGTTCTAGTCTCTGTTGCTGTGCTGGTCTTTAGCCCCACTGCTTGCACTGATGTCCCTCCTTTTCACGGAGACCTATCTGAGGTACAGGATGGGGCTGGCACCAGATGATGTCCCACCACAGTCCCTCACCTCCGGCCTCCACATGACAGAACCAATTTACACTCAACCATGACCTCACCCCTCCTTGGTTTCTCCCTCGATCTGTGGCCCTTTTTGGATGTATTCTTATCTAACAACACAATCCGGAAAGACTGAATTGAATATTTATACTAATGGTTCATATCCTTTATTGCTCAATGATCTAATTAAAGGGATCATTGCCACATTTCATGTTTATATTTCTACAATTTGTTTAGAAAACATCTCCTGACCATATCAGTAGCTCGTGTTATCTTTTTATCAACTGCTTCCCAGAGTCCTAAAACAATAGAAATTTTGGATTGAAAAGTTCAGCATAAGGAGTTTGAGTCAGTAAAGGATGGGATAAAGGAGTCGAGATGATTCAATGAAAAGTATCACAAAAAAGAGATTGATCAACAAGAGAAATAAAAAAGCCCAAGAGGAAGTGGTAGGGGAAGGAATTTAAGAACAGCAATAAGTAAAACTCTTAAGTAACTCCAAAAAGAAAATGGTACATTTTGCCAAAGACCACTTATACTTGAGAACATGGAAGAATTTGCCTGATACTCTCTTTGGGGAAAAGAGTCTCTCCTCTTTTCCTCAAACCCCAGTACACTCAGCCTCTCTGCCCCACCTTCTCCTGACTTTGTCCTCACTTGCTTCTGCAGTACATTGGAACCTGAATTGAAAGAAAGTCTTCCTTGAATAATTGGAGTTTGTCTTGAGAGGCAAATATAGCCCCAAGAATCACAAGATTCGAGGACCATGTAGGTCTTTTACGTAGCCCAAATCCATAAATTAGTCTCACTTTTTGTATTTATCGTTTCATATTAAACCCTCTATATCAAATGTTCATCATGATTTTGTATGATTTTTATAACTATTTTATTCATTTTATTAGATTTATTCTAAAATTTTTTAATGGTAAATTCTTAAACTGTGGAAACCACTGAAGGTGCTTATTAACTGTTCTCCCAGATTTGTACAAGTATTGGATGATTCCTTGAGTTTACAGCTGTACAAATAGTGTGGAAAATAAACTTTTTTTAAAAAAGAAAATCTTCCTCTATCTTTTCTGAATGAAGAGATTTAATGTTGGGAGGCTGATTCATGATAGACAGACAGACAGCCACTTAATAATCTGCAAAACCTGTGGAGCCCAGAAACTCTTATCCCAGTATTATGAGAGCTAGTATGTTTCTCAACCACAAAAAACCTTAGGGGTTGTAATTTACCTAAAAATGAGTGCAGTGTCTCACACCTGTAATCCCAACACTTTAGGAGGCCAAGGTGGGTGGATCACTTGAGGCCAGGAGTTTGAGACCAGTTTGGGCAATACAGGGAGACTCCATCTCTGCAAAACATCAAAAAAAAAAATTAGCTGGGCATGGTGGCACACACCTGTAGTCCCAACTACTCAGGAGGCTGAGGTGGGAGGATTGTTTGAATCCGGGAGGCCAAGGCTGCAGTGAGCTATGATCGTGCCACTGCACTCCAACCTGGGCAACAGAGTGAGACCCTATCTCAAAAACTTAAAAAAAAAATAAAAAATAAATTATATTATAGATTTCAAGCCACCCTTTTGGATATTGTTTTCATTGAGAAAATATATTCTACAAGCAGGCAATAGAAAAAGTTTTCTGATTCAGCTCTGGAGATAAGCTATGTTTTAATTCTCTTTTTACCTCCAGAAGGAAGAAAGATGCTTTCCTGGCACTGGCTATGGAGTGAGACCCCTGGTCTGTTCTAAGCTGCCACCAACAGGCAGTGCCACTCATGCTGGCCCCTGGGTGGGATGAGAATGGCCTCTGAGTTGAACAGAGTGAAGGGGGCTCAGAAGTTGCAGGAATGAGGTGTCCAGAGCTCAGTTGTTGCAGAGAAGGGAATTGGCACCATCAGTGGAGCCAGTATACAGCCTGCCAGTGTGAATTTCTTGAAAGAGACAACTTACATATGTTAGGGCTAAAACTTCCAGTGTTTTATGCTGGCCATAAAATCTGGTTACTCAAAGACGATATCAAGCTCCATGGTGGAGATAAGAAGCTCCTGGAATCTATCCCTCCATTAAAACAATTGAACTGGCAAGAGCTGTCTGATGCAACTATTTTGGAATTCAGGATCTTAGGGAACACTTGCAGCACCCAGGAGAAAGCTTGATGAGGAGGCTGGCAAGTTTTGGTCAATTTCAGCTCTTTACTTAGTGGTGACTACCACCCACCTTGATCAGCCCCAGGGCAGTCAGTTGTGGGGACAGCAGCTCAGGTACTTAGTGTGGCTTGCTGGAGCCAGGTTGGACAATAAAGACCCAGTTTTCCAAAAACCAAGGTTGTGGGTTCTGATTACTGATTGCTGCTTTTGATCCTTGAGGGGCTAGCATATAGGGAAAAATTTTCATGATACTGGGTTTGTCAAACATTTCTTGGACATATCAAAAGCACCAGCAACGAAAGAAAAAAACAGGTAAGCTGGACTTCATCAAAATTAACATTTTTGCATCAAAGGATACTATCAAGAGAGTAAAAAGACAACCCATGGAATGGGAGAAAATATTTGCAAACTCTATATGTGATAAGGAATTAATATTCAGAATATAACTACATTTCAACAACAAAAGCAAACAATTTAAAAATGAGTAAAGGATTTGAATAAACATTTATATGAAGAAGATATACAAATGGCCAATAAGCATATGAAAAGATGCTCAATATCATTAGTCATTAGGTAAATGCAAATAAAAACCACAATTTGACACCAGTTTACAGTATTAAGATGGCTTTTATCAAAACAAAACAAAACAAAACAAGTACTGGAGAGCATCTGGAAACGTTGTCCGTTGCTGATGGGAATGAAAACAGACAGCTTGGTGGTTCCTCAAAAAGTTGAATATAGAATTACTATATGATCCAGCAGTTCCACTCCTAGGACTATACCCAAAATAATAGAAAACAAGGGCTGGAACAGATGCTTCTGTGTTACTGTCCATTGCAATATCATTCACTGTAGCCAAAAGATGGAAACAACCCAAGTGTCCATCAACAGATGAATGGATAAACAAAATACGTTATGTACATAAAATGGAATATCACTGAGCCTAACAAATGAAATCCTGATACATGCTACAACACAGATGAACCGTCAGGACATTATGCTGTGGGAAATAAGCCAGACACAAACTATCAAGCAATATATGCGCTTCCATTTATATGAGGTATCTAGAATGTACCAATTCATGGAGACTGAAAGTAGATCA
Source organism: Homo sapiens (assembly GCF_000001405.40). NCBI lineage: Eukaryota > Metazoa > Chordata > Mammalia > Primates > Hominidae > Homo > Homo sapiens. Next base: position 235,973,638 of record NC_000001.11, on the reverse strand, counting down.
AAGGTTACCGGGGGCTGTGGGGAGGTGGAATGGAGAGTTATTGCTCGATGGCTACAGAATTCTTACCTGGGAAAATGAAAAGTATTGGAAATAGTGGTGATGGTTGCACAATATTGCGAATGTAATAAATGTCAGTGACTTGTACACTTAAGAATTATTAATGGCTGGGCACGGTGGCTCACGCCTGTAATCCCAGCACTTTGGGAGGCCAAGACGGGCGGATCACAAGGTCAGGAGATCAAGACCATCCTCGCCAACATGGTGAAACCCCGTCTCTACTAAAATGTAAAAAATTAGCCGGGTGCGGTGGTGCGCACCTGTAGTCCCAGCTACTCAGGAGGCTGAGGTAGAGGAATCGCTTGAACCCGGGAGGCGGAGGTTGCAGTGAGCTGAGATCGTGCCATTGCACTCCAGCCTGGCAACAGAGCAAGATTCTGTCTCAAAAAAAAAAATTATTAACATGGCAAATTTCATGATATATACATATTTTACAATTTTTAAAATTAATAATGTAATATACCCAAAACCATTGCAGGTACACTTTGGGTGAATTACATAGCATGTGAATTATATCTCAATAAAGCTGTTTTGGGTGGGCACAGTGGCTCACATCTGTAATCTCAGCACTTTAGGAGGCTGAGGCAGGAGGACAACTTGAGGCCAGTAATTTGAGACCAGCCTGGGCAATATAGTGAGACCCCCATCTCTACAAAATCTTTTAAAAATTAGCCGGGTGTAGTGGCAAGTGCCTGTAGTCCTAGCTACTCAGGAGGCTGAGGCAGGAGGATTGCTTGAGCCCGGGAGTTTGAGGTTACAGTGAGCTATGATCATGCCGCTGCACTCCAGCCTGGGCCACAGAGCAAGACCCTGTCAAATAAATAAATAAGCTGTTTTTTAAAAATCACTGTAATTAAAAACAAAAACTCCTGGATACCTAAGGTTGGCAAAATGCTGATCGTTGTTGTGGCTGGCCGAATTCTAAAGATTTCAAGATTCTAATTTTGTACTGCTCTGAAGGGACTTTGCAGATGGAATTTAGATGACTAAGTAGCTGACGTTAAAACAGGCAAATTATCCTGGGTTATCCAGGCAGGCCCTTAAAAACAGAGGAGGGAGGCAGAAGAGTCAGAGAGATAAGGCAGAAACAGAAAGCGGGAGAGGAGAGGGTGAAGGGGGAGAGGGACTATTTACACTTCCCTTTAGGTTACAGGCACAGAGAAACCTTTAGGCTGAACTTAAAATATGTGAGTAGCTTTAAGCTAAACTTGATTTAACAGGGAAAAACAGGACTTTGCAAAAATTCTTTTAGGGAGTGTACTATCGAGCACATTTGAAGACCACAGGTCTCGAAAGCGGGGAAGACGGGACCCAGAGTCCCCCGCAGCAGCGTCACGGCCCAGCTCTGGTTCTCAAGTTGGGCTGCTGTTTTTCCCCTTTTTCTCATCCGCCAGGATGCCAGGCGCTGCTGAAAGCTGCAGCCGAAAGGATTTAGAATTCCTTACAACGGAGAAAGGGTCTTTGCTCAGACAACATGGACTTAAGAGACGGAAGGGCCAAAAAGGCTTGAAAACAGGCTCGAAGAGCGGCTTCCTGGTAGCTAGAAGCTTAAGTGGGGACAGATGAGCTTAACTGGCAAGCCTGCGTGTGTGCTCTCCAGCCCCCGTGATTCAGTTTAAATCTGGGCGGGTCTCCTCAAAGACAGTTCCAGAAGGGGCCACGTGAGGGCAGTAAGAGCCTCTCAATGCCTGTTTTTGGGGGAAGAGAGAAGTGAGGGCGGAGCGCGGGGAGCGTCCCAGGCCTGGCTACCCGGATAACTTCCCCAAAAGAAGCTATGCTCGGGCCTTCCCATCGTCCCACTCAAGAGCTTTCTTCATATTGGTGAGTTGCCCAACTGCTAGCAAAAGAACTTCCCAATTATGGTCAAGCCTCTTCATCTAAATTCAGATTTCCACCAAATAGCCCAGCCCTTTTCCTCCCCAAGTCATCTCCTTACTCAAACATTTGCAGACATTCGTCACACGAGATCCCCAGCCGTGGGCTCAGCATCTTACACCGAGGTACGAAAACACAGAAGTATTCCTGAGTGTATTCTGTGTATGCAAAAGTGCATACGTCTCCTTATGGACCAGGTTCTGAGTGAATCTAAGTGGAAAACACGGAATAGCAGGCTAATTCCAGAAAATGCAGGGCTTTTGCAAATAAGTGGGCGTCTAGTCACTAAGCAGGTAGTAATAACAGGTGATGCTAAATGATTGCTTCGAACCACTTTGTTAAGGGGATCAGAGAAGGGAGAAGGCTCAGGAGAGAGAGTGCAGCAAGAAGCTTTTATTAGCTGGATGGAAATGGGAAAACTAACTCAGGATAACCTTATGTAGTAGAATTTATTGTGCCCATTGAGTAAGTCAGGAAACTGAGGGTTAAGGAGGTGAAGTAACTTGGCAAAGGTCACGCCGTCAGAGCAGAGTCCAGTTCCAGATTTGGTTTACTCTAAATACCCTTCCTCACCCCCCTTTTTAAGAAATACCTTAAATGAAAATTTATTTTTACTTTATCTTACATTATTATTTATTTGTATTCAGCACATTTTCATTTAGAAAGTTGGAAAATAAAGGCACAAGAAAAACAAATAACAGTAATTTCATTACTCAATAATGGCCTCATCACTACAATCTTGTCCAGAAATGTTGTAAACACACACACACAATACTTTTACATATATTTTTGTAAGATATATATATAACAAAAAATGTGATCCTGTGATACTTTTCCGTATTTTTGTTTTCCATTTAAATAAATGTGCATATGAACATTACTTTGATCAACTACATAATAGTATCATACTCTATTATATGGACAATAAACTCTCACCAGTTCATTTATTGATGAACTTTTAGGGTGTTTCTATGTGTTTTTTGATGTGATAAATAACAATAAACCAATAAACACCCACATACTAATATCAGTGTCCTTTTTTTTTTTTTTTTTTTTTTTTTGAGAGTCACGCTCTGTTGCCCAGGCTGGAGTGCAGTGGTGCAATCTCAGCTCACTGCAACCTCCGCCTCCCGGGTTCAACAATTCTCCTGCCTCAGCCTCCCGAGCAGCTGCGACCACAGGCATGTGCCACCATGCCCAGCTAATTTTTTATATTTGTAGTAGGGATGTGGTTTCACCATGTTATCCAGGATGGTCTCAATCTCCTGACCTCATGATTCACCCGCCTCGGCCTCCCAAAGTGCTGGGATTACAGGCATGAGCCACCACGCCCGACCCTCAGTGTCCTTATTAATATCTTTAGGATAAATTTCAACTCAGGATTATTTAAAAATTTAAGACTTTCAATAGATACTCCCCAACTGCCTTACAGAAAGTTTGTACCACTTTATACTTCCACCAGCGGGAGTGTTGGAGAGGGCCCGTTTACCTATGTTTTTGCCTTTGCATAGTTTATTTTTTCATTTTTGCCAATTACATAGGTGGTGTTTGTTTATTAAAATTTACATTATTGGCTGGTTGCAGTGACTCACGCCTGTAATCCCAGCACTTTGGGAGGCCAACATGGGAGGACTGCTTGAAGCTAGGAGTTTGAGGCCCATCCTGGGCAACATACTGAGGCTCAGTCTCTAAAAAGAAAAAAAATTACACTCTTTAAGTTGCGGTAAACTTTTGAAATGCACACTAGCCACTTAAAGTTCTTTTGTCAATTGTCCTTCTAGTCCTCAGTTCTTTTTTCTAATTGGGAGAATCTCACTGATTTATAAGTGTCCTTTACATTTTAAAGCTAATTAACCTTTTGTTGTCTATTTTGCAAATAATATTCCCCAAGGGTTTGTTGTTGTTGTTGTTGTTTGTTTGTTTGTTTGTTTTTTTGAGACAGGGTTTTGCTCTGTTGCCCAGGCTGGAGTGCAATGGCGTGATCTTGGCTCACTGCAATCTTGGCTCACTGCAACCTCTGTCTCCTGGGTTCAAGCTATTCTCCTGCCTCAGCCTCTCCAGCAGCTGGGATTACAGGCATGTGCCACCACACCTGGCTAAGTTTTGTATTTTTAGTAGAGATGGGGTTTCACCATGTTGGCCAGGCTGGTCTTGAACTCCTGACCTCATGATCTGCCAGCCTCAACCTCTCAAAAAGTGCTGGTTACAGGCGTGAGCCACTGCGCCCAGCTTTTTTGTTGGTTTTTTGTTCTGGGGGATTTGGGGACATACGGAAGGTTTTAATCTACATGTAGTCAATTCCTGCTCAGTACGAATTAGAACAAAAGTACCAGCCAAGAAGTCATGAGGCGGAAAATGTCCAGGCTGCACCCTGTGGCATATGGTATTTTCCAAAATGGCCTGAACACAATCTCCCACCCCACATATTCTTACAATGGTGTGTCGATGTGATATTGACATTCCTCTCACCAAGAACTAGGGCCTATGTCCCTCTCCTTGAATCTGGATGGGCCTATGACTATAGCAGAGGGGATGACATGTGGGTTCTGAGGCTGGGTCATACAAGGTGAAACAGCTTCCGTCCAGTCTTCTTGGGATTCTCTCTCTCCGGTTCTGTGATAGGAGGAAGCTCAGGCCACATGAAGAGGCCATGTGCCTGGGGTGGCAGCTCCAACTGTAGCCTCAGCCTACAGCAGACATCAATCACTAGACATGCAAACAAAGAGACCGCCCCCGTGACTCCAGCCCAAGCCACTGTCTGACCGCAGTCTCACAAGAATGGTCCAGGAGACCCCAGTCAATTTCAGACCATGAGAGAGAAAACAGGCTGAGCAGCCCTAATCCAAAATTTATAAAATCTGAAATACTCCAAAGTTCAAAACTCTTCGAGTGCCGATATGATGCTCAAAGGTCATGCTCAAAGGAAATGAATATTGGCACATTTTGGATTTCTCATTTTTGGATCAGGGATGCTCAACTGGTGAGTATAACGCAAATATTCCAATATTTAAAAAAAAATCCAAAATCCAAAACATTTCTGTTCCCAAGCATTTTGGGTGTTTTTTTCCATAGGTAATTGGGGAACAGGTGGTATTTGGTTACATGAATAAGTTCCTTAGTGGTGATTTGTGGGATTTTGGTGCACTCATCACCCAAGCAGTATACACTGCACCATATTTGTAGTCTTTTATCCCTCACCCCCCTCCCACCCTTCCGCCCAATCCCCAAACCCATTGCATCATTATTATGCCTTTGCATCCTCATAGCTTAGCTCCTAGATATCAGTAAGAATATACGATGTTTGGTTTTCCATTCCTGGGTTACTTCACTTAGAGTAATAGTCTCCAATCTCATCCAGATCACTGTGAATGCCATTAATTCATTCCTTTTTTTGGCTGAGTAGTATTCCATCAGATAGATAGATAGATAGATAGATAGATAGATAGATAGATAGATAGATAGATGATAGATATCTAGATGAGGATGCCCACCAGATATCTATCTATCATCTATCTATCTATCTTCTATCTCACAGTATCTCTATCCACTTGTTGATTGGTGGGTATTTGGGTTGGTTCCACAATTTTGCAATTGTGAATTGTGCTGCTATAAACATGCATGTGCAAGTATCTTTTCTGTATAATGACTTTTCCTCAGGGTAGATATCCAGTAGTAGGATTGCTGGATCCAATGGTAGTTCTACTTTTAGTTATTTAAGGAATCTCCACACGGTTTTCCATAGAGGCCATACTAGTTTACATTCCCACCAGCAGTGTAGAACTGTTCCCTGATCACCTCATCCACACCAACATCTACTGTTTTTTAATTTTTTTTTTTTTTTTTTTTGAGATGAAGTCTTGCTCTGTCACTCAGGCTGGAGTGTGATGGCGCGATCTCGGCTCACTGCAACCTCTGCCTCCTGGGTTCAAGCAATTCTCTGCCTCAGCCTCCCAAGTAGCTGGGATTACAGGCACCCACCACCAGGCCTGGCTAAATTTTTTTGTATTTTTAGTTGAGACGGGATTTCACCATCTTGGCCAGGCTGGTCTTGAACTCCTGACCTCGTGATCCACCCGCCTCGGCCACTCAAAGTGCTGGGATTACAGGCGTGAGCCACCGCGCCCGGCCGTTTTTTGATTTTTTTATTATGGCCATTCTTGCAGGAGTTAGGTGGTATCACATTGTGGTTTTCATTTGCATTTCCCTGATCATTAGTGATGTTGAGTATTTTTTCATAAGTTTTTTGGCTATTTGTATATCTTCTTCTGAGAATTGTCTATTGTCCTTAGCCCACTTTTTGATGGGATTGTTTGTTTATTTCTTGCTGATATTGTTTGAGTTCATTGTAGATTCTGGATATTGGTCCTTTGTCAGATGTCTAGACTGTGAAGATTTTCTCCCACTCTGTGGATTGTCTGTTTACTCTGCTGACTGTTCCTTTTGCCGTGCAAAGCTCTTTAGTTTAATTAAGTCCCAGCTATTTATCTTTGTTTCTATTGCATTTGCTTTTGGGTTCTTGGTCATGAAATCCTTGCCTAAGCCAATGTCTAGAAGGGTTTTTTCAATGTTATCTTCTAGAATTTGTAAGGTTTCAGGTCTTAGATTTAAGTCCTTAGTCCATCTTGAGTAGATTTTTGTGTAAGCTGAGAGATGAGGATCCAGTTTCATTTGCCTACAGGTGGCTACACAATTATCCCAGCACCAGTTGTTGAAAAGGGTGTCCTTTCCCCACTTTATGATTTTGTTTGCTTTTTTGAAGATCAGTTGGCTGTAAGTATTTGGGTTTATTTCTGGGTTCTCTATTCTGTTCCATTGGTCTATGTGCCTATTTTCATACCAGCACCATGCTGTTTTGGTGACTACGGACATGTAATTTGAAATCGGGTAGTGTGATGCCTCCAGATTTGTTCTTTTTGCTTAGTCTTGCTTGGCTATGTGGGCTCTTTTTTGGTTCCATATGAATTTTAGGATTGTTTTTTCTAATTCTGTGAAGAATGACGGTGGTATTTTGATGGGGATTGCATTGAATTTATAAATTGCTTTTGGTAGTGTGGTCATTTTCACAATATTGATTCTACCCATCTAGGACCATGGGATGTGTTTCCATTTGTTTGTGCCATCTATGATTTCTTTCAGCAGTGTTTTGTAGTTTTCCTTGTAGAGGTCTTTCACCTCCGTGGTTAGGTATATTCCTAAGTATTGTAATTTTTTTGCAGCTATTGTAAAAGAGGTTAGGTTTTTTTAATTTGATTCTCCGGTTGGTCATTGTTGGTGTTAGAAAAGCTACTGATTTTTGTACATTAATCTTGTATCCGGAAACTTTGCTGAATTCTCTTATCAGTTGTAAGAGGTTTCTGGAGGAGTCTTTAGGGTTTTCTAGGTAAACGATCATATCGGCAGCAAACAGTGAAAGTTTGACTTCCTCTTTACTGATTTGGATGCCCTTTATTTCTTCCTCTTGTCTGATTGCTCTGGCTAGGACTTCCAGTACTATGTTGAAGGGGAGTGGTGAGAGTGGGCATCCTTGTCTTGTTTTAATTCTCAGAGGGAATCCTTTCAACTTTTCCCCATTCAGTATTATGTTGGCTGTAGGTTTGTCATAGACGGCTTTTATTACATTAAGGTATGTCCCTTGTATGCCAATTTTGCTGAGAATTTTAATCATAAAGGATGCTGGATTTTGTTAAATGCTTTTTCTGCATCTATTGAGATGATCATGTGATTTTTGTTTTTAATCCTATTTTATGTGGTGTATCACATTTATTGGCTTACATATGTTAAACCATCCCTGCATCCCTGGTATGAAACCCACTTGATCATGGTGGATTATCTTTTTGATATGTTGTTGGATTTGGTTAGCTAGTATTTTGTTAAGGATTTTAGCTTCTGTGTTCGTCAAGGATATCGGTCTGTAGTTTTCTTTTTTGGTTACGTCCTTTCCTGGTTTTGGTATTAGGGTGATGCTGGCTTCATATAATGAGTTAGGGAGGGTTCCCTCTTTCTCTATCTTGTGGAATTGTGTCAAAAGGATTGATTGGTACCAATTCTTCTTTGAATGTCTGGTAGAATTCTGCTGGGAATCCATCTGACCCTGGACTTTTTTTTTGTTGGTAATTTTTAAATTACCATTTCAATCTCACTGCTTGTTAGTGGTCTATTCAGGGTATCTAATTCTTCCTGATTTAAGCTAGGAGGGTTGTATTTTTCCAGGAATGTATCTGTCTCTTCTAGACTTTCTAGTTTATGTCTGTAAATGTATTCACAGTAGCCTTGAATGATCTTTTGTATTTCAGTGGTGTCAGTTGTAATACCTACTGTTTCATTTCTTAATGAGGTTATTTGGAGTTTCTCTCTTCTTTTCTTGGTTAATCTTGCTAAGGGTCTATCAATTTTATTTATCTTTTCAATGAACCAGCTTTTTGTTACATGTATCATTTGACTGTTTTGAATTTCAATTTGATTTAGTTCTGCTCTGATCTTGGTTATTTCCTTTCTTCTGCTGGATTTGGGTTTGCTTTGTTCTTGTTTCTCTAGTTCCTTGAGGTGTGACCTTAGAATGTCAGTTTGTGCTCTTTCAGTCTTTTTGATGTAGGCATTTAGGGCTATGAACTTTCCTCTTAAGACCGCCTTTGCTGTATCCCAGAGGTTTTGATTGGTTGTGTCATTATTGTCGTTCAGTTCGAAGAATTTTTAAATTTTCATCTTGATTTTGTTTTTGCCCCAATGATCATTCAGGAGCAGGTTATTTAATTTCCATGTATTTGCATGGTTTTGAAGGTTCCTTTTGGAGTTGATTTCCAGTTTTATTCCACTGTGGTCTGATAGAGCGCTTGATATAATTTCAGTTTTCTTAAATTTATTGAGGCTCTTTGCTGCCTATCATATGATCTATCTTGGAGAAAGTTCCATGTGCTTTTAATAGAATGTGTATTCTGTAGTTGTTGTATGAAATGTTCTATATATATCGGTTGAGTCCATTTGTTCCAAGGTATAGTTTAAATCCATTGTTTCTTTGTTAACTTTCTGTCTTGACCTGTCTGATGCTGTCAGTGGAGTATTGAAGTCCCCCATTATTATTATGTTGCTGTTTGTCTCATTTCTTAGGTCTATTAGTAATTGTTTTATAAATTTGGGAGCTCCAGTGTTAGGTGCATATATGTTTAGGATTGTGATATTTTCCTATTGGACAAGGCCTTTTATCAGTATATAATGTTCCTGTTTGTCTCTTTTAACTGCTGTTGCTTTAAAGTTTGTTTTGTCTGATATAAGAATAGCTACCTCTGCTCGTTTTTGTTGTCTTATTTGCAAAAACTGCCTTTTTTTTTTTTTTTTTTTTTTGAGACAAAGTCTCTCTCTGTTGCCCAGGTGGAGTGCAGTGGTGCAACCTTGGTTCACTGCAACCTCTGCCTGCCGGGTTCAAGCAATTCTCCTGCCTCAGGCTCCTGAGTAGCTGCGACTACAGGCACGTGCCACCATGCCAAGCTAATTTTTTGTATTTTTAGTAGAGACGGGGTTTCACCATGCTGGCCAGGTTGGTCTTGAACTCCTGACCTCATGATCCGCCCACCTCGGCCTCCCAAAGTGCTGGGTGGCATGAGCCACCAAGCCTGGCTGAAATGCCTTTTTCCACCCCTGTAAGTTTATGTGAGATGTGAGTCCTTACGTATTAGGTGAATCTCCTGAAGGCAGGCAGACGGTTGGTGAGTTCTTGTCCATTCTGTGGTTCTGTATCTTTTAGGTGGAGCACTTAGGCCATTTACATCCACGTAACTATTGAGGTGTGAGGTACCATTGCATTCATCATGCTCTTTGTTGCCTGTGTACTTAGGTTTTTTTTGGTTTTGGCTTTTGCTTTTTAACTTGCATGTTTGTTTTATAGGCCCTGTGTGATTTATGCTTTAAAGAGGTTCTGTTTTGATGTGTTTCCAGGATTTGTTACAAGATTTAGAGCTCCTTTCAGCAGTTCTTCTAGTGGTGGCTTGGTGATGGTGAATTCTCTCAGCATTGTTTGTCTAAAAACGACTGTATCTTTCCTTCATATATGATGCTTTGTGTCACTGGATACGAAATTCTTGGCTGATAACTGTTTTGTTTGAGGAGGCTGAAGATAGGGCCCCAATCCCTTCTAGCTTGTAGGGTTCCTGCTGAGAAATCTGCTGTTAATCTGATAGGTTTTCTTTTATAGGTTACCTGGTACTTCTGTCTCACAGCTCTTAAGATTCTTTCCTTCATCTTAACTTTGGATAACCTGATGACAATGTGCCTAGGCGAAGATCTTTTTGAGATGAATTTCCTAGGTGCTCTTTGTGCTTCTTGTATTTGGATGTCTACGTCTCTAGCAAGGCCGGGGAAGTTTTCCTTGATTATTCCCTGAAATATGTTTTCCAAAATTTTAGATTTCTCTTCTTCCTCAGGAACACTGATTATTCTTAGGTTTAGTCATTTAACATAATCCCCAACTTCTTCGAGGGTTTGCTCATATTTTCTTTTTCTTTTTTTCTTTATCTTTGTTGGATTGGGTTAATTCAAAGACCTTGTCTTTGAGCTCTGAATTTCTTTCTTCTATTTGCTCAATTCTACTGCTGAGACTTTCCAGAGCATTTTGCGTTCTGTAAGCGTGTCCAATGTTTCCTGAAGTTTTGATTGTTTTTTCTTTTTGCTATCTATTTCCTTGAATATTTCTCCCTTCACTTCTTGTATCATTTTTTTTGGATTTCCTTGCATTGGACTTTGCCTTTCTCTGGTCCCTCCCTAATTAGCTTAGTAACTAAACACCTGAATTCTTTTTCAGGTCAATCAGGGATTTCTTCTGGATTTGGATCCATTGCTGGTGAGCTAGTGTGATTTTTGGGGGGTGTTGAAGAGCCTTGTTTTGTCATATTACCAGGGTTGGTTTTCTGTTTCCTTCTCATTTGGGTAGGCTCTGTCAGAGGGAAGGTCTAGGGCTGAAGACTGTTGTTCAGATTCTTTTGTCCCACGGGGTGTTCCCTTGATGTAGTATGCTCCTCCTTTTCCTATGGATGTGGCTTCCTGTGAGCCGAACTGCAGTGATTGTTGCCTCTCTTCTGGGTCTAGCCACCCAGCGAGTCTACCTGGCTCCAGGCTGGTACTGGGGGTTGTCTACACAGAGTCCTGTGATGTGAACCATCTATGGGTCTCTCAGCCATGGATACCAGCACAGTACTTGGGGTGACTCCCGGGTCCTGCAGGAGCAGCCCGCTTCCTTCATTGGGTCTGTGGGTCCTCTCAGGATTCCTGGTTTGTTCTTGCAGTCATTCTGGAGCTAAAATTCATGATGTGAGCCTCCACACACTGCTCTGTCCATCCGAGTCGGAGCTGCAATCTAGTCCTCTGTTCCCAAGCATTTTGGATAAGGGATACTCAACCTGTAAAAAAGTGATTGCTCTTATTTTTGGTCCTAAGTTTAGGGATGATTCATTACACAGCCATGGATAACTGGCATTTGCCAGGACAACTGATATTAAAAACCCAGAAACCAAACACTTCCTTGGCCCCTACTCTGTTTTCTTATTTGGAAAATGTGAATAGAAAATGAGGAAAAATCCCTTCCTCTGGGTAGAATGTCACAGCTTCAGCACTTGCAACTCTTGATTCCACAGGGTGGGTCTTCCATATGACCTGTGAGCAACATATGGCCTCTTCTCTCTTCAGAAACAACTTTCATCCATTCACTCAACAGGAAAAACGAGAAGAAGGACGCAAGCTGTGGCTCAGTCTCTACTCAGCCATGGAACACATTTTAGCAAGTGATCAGATTCATAACTGCCTTCTGGCCAGGCGTGGTGGCGTGTGCCTGTAATCCCAGCATTTTGGGAGGCCGAGGTGGGCGTATCACTTGAGGTCTGGAGTTCAAGAGCGGCCTGGCCAACAAGGCGAAACCCCATCTCTACTAAAAATACAAAAATTAGCCAGTGTGGTGGCAGGTGCCTGAAATCCCAGCTATTCGGGAGGCTGAGGCAGGAGAATTGCTTGAACCCTAAAGGCAGAGGTTGCAGTGAGCCAAGATCTTGCCATTGCACTCCAGCCTGAGTGACAAGAGCGAGACTCGGCCGGGCGTGCTGGCTCAGGCCTCTAATCCCAGCACTTTGGGAGGCCGAGGGGGGCAGATCACGAGGTCAAGAGATGGAGACTATCCTGGTCAATATGGTGAAACCCCATCTCTACTAAAAATACAAAAATTAGCCAGGTATGGTGGTGCATGCCTGTAGTCCCAGCTACTCAGGAGGCTGACGCAGGAGAATCGCTTGAACCCGGCAGGCAGAGGTTGCAGTGAGCCGAGATTGCGCCACTGCTCTCCAGCCTGGGGACAGAGAGAGACTCCATCTCAAAAAAAAAAAAAAAAAAAAAAAGTGAACTCAGTCCTATTGGGAAGTAGCCTAATTTGAGCAGGAAACACCTTTGTGGCATTGAGATACATGTGGAATCCTTTAGGAGAGGGAAAAGAACTATTTGTGAAATTTGAGATCAACAGTTATACTTGGTGTGTTTAGAGGTCCGATGGGGTTAAGACTTGAATAATTCATAAGCGAGAGTTGGATTGTCAGCCCTATAGCTACACCCAACTGTAGATGAGCTGCTGGGCTCATCATCTCAGATCATTGTGCTCTTTCCTGTAGCGCACCAGGCAGAGTGTGTTCCACCCTTGTGCACAAGGAGCATAGGACTTGGAGTGGGAGGAACCTGAGAGCGAGTCTGGGCCTGCCATCTGCTGGGCCAGTCCCTTTACCTCTTTGACTCTCCTTTTGCTTTTTTGTAAAATTAGAATGTTACTATTCATCTCATTTTTATTGTGGAGCTAAATGAGATCAGTGAAAGTGCATTGCATATAGCAAGAACACAGTAAGTGCTTGCTGTTTCTTACTTTTGTATAGTGCTTTAACATTCACAAAATGATCTTACCTTTATTAAGTCTATGGGGATAAATATTGCTGTTACCATTTCATGAATGATTACATGGAGACACAGGGAGGTTAAGCCACTTAAGGTCTCACAGTTGGTAAATTTCAGGTCTAGAATTCAAACTGAGCTTTCTCCAGTTGCCAAAGCCCACTCTTTCTGCATGCCATGTCTTCTTTCCTGAAAGTGCATGCATGTGTCATGCATTCATTGGACACCTGCTTTGTGCCAAATGTTGGGCTTAAAGCAGGGTGCAGAGGTTAATCGGGGGATAGGGAATGTTGTGCCTGAGCTGGGTCTTGAAGGGAAAGAGAAGTTTGCCAAGCAGATAGAAGAGTGGGCATTCCTGATAAATGAATAAATAGTGTGTGCAAAGGTCTGGAGATGCTGCCTAAACAGTCTCAGATATGGCTGTCAACAATGGGCCACTCTTTAAGGGGGAATATGGGGACGGGAAAGACAGGCTCCTTGAACTCCATTCCTGAGGAATGACCATTAATTATGGATTATATCCCTGCCTGTGCTGCAGGAAGGGAAGAGGCAGAGGGCTGTCCCATCATTTCCTCACAGAATGACTGGTACCCAGGCACAGCGCTCATCCTGTGCTCTCTAACCCGGAGAGAACACGGCTCTAACATTCTCAGCAAAGAACCAGTAGCTTCTCCTGTCTTCCTGCAATTCCAGCCTACCTTTTCTGGTGCCGAGCCCCAGATGTGTGGCCTAGCTCCTACCTGACAGCTCCAGAAAACTCAGTCACGATCATAAAACAGAAGGAACAGACAGGTTCTGAAATGTTCATCAACCTCATTAGCATCAATGAATCCAGAGACTTTTTGAACACTGAAAACAGAGACCCAAAGTTTTAAGCCCCAATTATTTTTCTTTTCTATTTTTTTTTTTTTTTTTTTTTTGGAGATGGGGTCTCACTCCGTCACCCAGGCTGGAGTGCTATGGCATGATCTCCACTCACTGTAACCCCCACCTCCCCAGCTCAAGCAATCCTCCCACCTCAGCCTCCTGAGTAGCTGGGACCACAGCTACATGGCACCATGCCCAGCTAATTTTTTTTTTTTTTTTTTGAGACCAAGTCTCGCTCTGTCACCCAGGCTGGAGTGCAGTGGCATGATCTCGGCTCACTGCAACCTCCGCCTCCTAGGTTCAAGCAATTCTCTGCCTCAGCCTCCGGAGTAGCTGGGATTACAGGCCCCCTGCCACCACACCCAGCTAATTTTTGTATTTTTAGTAGAGATGGGGTTTCATCATCTTGGCCAGGCTGGTTTTGAACTCCTGACCTCGTGATCCACCCACCTCGGCCTCCCAAAGTGCTGGGATTACAGGCGTGAGCCACCGCAACTGGCCAATTTTTGTATTTTTAGTAGAGACGGGGTTTCACCATATTGCCCAGGCTAGTCTCAAATTCCTGAGCTCAAGTGATCCGCCCACCTCGGCCTTCCAAAGTACAGGGATTACAGGCATGAGCTACTGTGTCCAGCCCCAATTCTTCTTCTTTTTTTTTTTTTTTCCCAAGACAGAGCTTTTTTCCAAGACAGAGCTACTGTGTCCAGCCCCAATTCTTTTTTTTTTTTTTTTCCTCACTCTCTTGCATAGGCTGGAGTACAGTGGCATGATCTCTGCTCACTGCAACCTCTGCCTTCCAAGTTCAAGCAATTCTCCTGCCTCGGCCTCCCGGATAGCTGGGATTACAGGCGTGCACCACCACGCCTGGCTAATTTTTATATTTTTAGTAGAGACGGGGTTTCACCATGTTGGCCAGGCCGGTTTCGAACTCCTGACCTCAGGTGATCCGCCCATCTCGGCCTCCCAAAGTGCTCGGATTACAGGCATGAGCCACTGCACCCGACCCCTGTTCTTACATGAGCTAAAAAAAAAAAAAATCTATATGCTAGAGAAGCAAGGATTCATGGAAGACAAAATAAAATGCATCAGCTTTTTTAACTCATTGAAAATCTTAGACTATGAAATCATATCACTAGGCCATGTGAGTAAAAGGGTTTATACATCATTAGGTAATCTCCTGAGGTAAAACATCCTCTCTGAGTTTCAAACACATGCACCCATCCCTGACAAGCTGTAGACAGTAATAGGTATTTCCATCTACGATAAATTGTTCCAGTTGTTTGACAAAAGTTATTTCATGAGATTGTTACAGTAGGTAGCTAGTCAGACACAAGCAGGGCAGGAGAGGGCCCCCTGCACACACCAGGAATGTCAGGCGACCATCTAGTGATGGTCAGGCAGTTGTTAACTGTCTAGAATAATAATTGGTTGTAGCAAGTGCCTGGGAAATGTTGTCTCCCAATAGACAGAAAATACCTGAAACTGGTGATGAGCAGCTTCCCGATAAGATCTCAGGAGGTGGGCGAGTAGGCTAAGCACGCACACTAAGAGGCAAACTGGTGGAGTTTAACTGGTATACGACCTTCCTCTAGTAACACTCGACTGGTAAGGAAAGAGCGCCTCAAGTGAGCTTGTGCACAATTTTGGTAAACGCACTGCACTTGAGGCCCCTCCTGAGCGCTGGCAGGCCACCGCGCATGCGGACAGCCCACCCAAGGGAAGAATCAGAGGAGAAGGACCGCAAGCCCCTGGAAGCATGCTGAAGTATTAAACCCCAAGTCAAAGGTCAAACAATGCACTTGGTCTCTCAAGCCGCCCTCTTGGCCCTCTCCCAAGTGTACTTAACTTCCTTTCACTCCTATCCTAAAACTTTTCAAGAAATTTTCACTCCAGCTCTAAACTTGCCTTGGTCTCTCCTTCTGCCTTAGGTCCCTTGGTTGAATTCTGTGTTCTGAAGAGGCAAGAATTGAGGTTGCTGCAGACCTGTATGGATTCGCCACCAGTAACAAGATCTCAGAACACTGGAAAAATCGATGCACAAAAAAAAAAGGTTAGCGCTGACTGCAACACTCTAAAATAATGACCACTGTTTAGTCGTCAGTGATATTACAGTCTAATCTCATTTATAAATACATTTTTTAAATAAACAATCTCTTGAAGGATAATGTACATTCTGAAAAGTGCACAACTCTTAAGAGTACCTACAGCTCAGGGCATTTTCCCAAAGTCAACGCCAATGTAGAGAGTCACTTTTGAGGGTAAACAAGAATTTGAGGGAGAAAGAGGTTGTTAGCAATAAAGTGACATCCAGCTCATCAGGGGCTTTTCCCACTGTGATTACCAACAAGACCAGTGGTGCCAATGGACACAATTGTAGAGGAGCTTTTGGGGACATAGCATCAGATGCACTTGGTGGCATCCGATAACCACAACTTTGCTGTTCTGAATAAGGCAAATGGGCCAAGGGTCAAAAAGATAGATGGATTATAGTCCTTTGATGTCACCTGTATTAATATAGTGCCAGTCTTAGTATTTGATAGGGTGCTGAGGGAATGGGGAGGAATCTTAATAAGTATTCTAAAATTAGCTCTTAGAAACCTGGAGTTACATTTTGTTGGTTGCTTTGGTCAAGCAAAATAAAGGATAATATATAGCTTTTGTAGGTACCCTCTGGCCCCTCCTCCCAGCCTGTTTCCACCCCTCCTTCCCGCCTGTTTCCACCCCTCCTTCCCCACCTCCTCATCCCCCATGAAATAAACATTATAGTAGCACTCAACTGTTAGGACATCTCAAACTTTCCATCCAAATGCTCTTTAGGGCAAAAGAGCTGAATTGTACCCCCTTAGGGAGGGGACAGTGGAGGGGAGCTGTAGGAGGGTACCTGTGGAAGGCATGGGGACATATCAAAAGCTAGATATTCCTGTGACGTGTCGTGGTTTATCTTTTAAAAATCTGCATGAATCTTGCATTAAACTCTGTAGTAATATAAAGTTTCAAATGTCCCATTTTAACTCCTTAACCATGTGTTGTGGTGAGACCTCCAGCTTTGTTCCTTTTACTCGATTGCTTTGGCTATCCAGGGTCTTTTGCATTTCCACATGAATTTTAAGATTGTTTACTCCCACTTCTGTGAAGAACATTATGGGTATTTTGATAGGGATTGCATTGAATCTCTAGACCTCTGGGTAATATGGACATTTAAATACTATTAGTACTTCCAATCCATGAATATGGGATAGTTTTCCATGTATTTGTGTTAATTATCTGTTATGGGTTGACTTGTGTTCCCCCAAAAAGATATTTTGAAGCCCTAATCCCAGTACCTCAGAATGTCATATTTGGATTAAGGTGTTTGCAGATGTAGCTGAGTTAAGATGAGGTCATTAGGATGGACCTTAATACAATATGACCGGTGTCCTTATTAAAAAGGAGTGAAAAGCCTGCTGGGATTTTGATAGGGATTGTGTTGCATCTACAGGTCACTCTGGGGAGATTTGCCATCTTAATAACATTGAGGCTTCCAATCCATGAACATGGACTGTTTCTCCATTTATTTAAGAAGGGCTATAATTCCTAAGCAACTATTACACTCAGGCCCTTAGCCTAAATCACATATGGTGTGCCATTTACTGATGTGGCATCTGAGGCCACAGACGTTAGGAAGACTATGAAGATGACACATGGCTAGCATGCTGGGATTCGAGGCTCCATCTGTGTGACGCTGTTTCCACTTCATCCTGTTGCTTCTTCTCACTGTTAAGGTGGCTGACAGCGCCCCAGCTATCTCTAGTTTAGGGCACTTCACTGGCATAACTGGTTGTCTTAAAAAAGAGAAGAGAGATTGATTGCAAACAAAAGAGAGATTGGATTCTCTATAGTGACCTGGAAATATGTTCAAGATACAGACGTAAGTGAGTAAGGAAGTCACAGAACTGTGTATATTTTATGGCCTATTTTTATACAAACAAAGACTTATGTGTATTTGCACTTAGGGAAGGCCTGGAAGACGATCCAAGAAATTCTTAACAGTGACTCTCTCCAGGGAGGATAACAGTGATCATGGTCAGATTAATGAGGACTTTGACTTTTCATCTTACATTATTGTCTATAGTCATTAGGATATTTTACTATAAGCAGCTGGACGTGGTGGCTCATGCCTGTAATCCCAGCACTTTGGGAGGTTGAGGTGGGAGGATCATTTGAGCCCAGGAATTTGAGAATAGCCTGGGCAACATAGTGAGACCCTGTCTCTACAAAAAATCTAAAAATTAGCAAGGCGTGGTGGCTTACACCTGTAGTCCTAGCTACTAAGGAGGCTGAGGTAAGAGGATGGTTTAATCAGAGGCTGAGGTGGGAGAATGACTTGAGCCCAGGAGTTTGAGTCTGCAGCAAGCTATGATTGTGCCACTGCACTGGGTGCAAAAAAAAAATTAGAAAAAAAAAATATATATATATGACTATAAACATGCATTTCCCCCTTACGCAGGAGTATCCAATCTTTTGGCTTCCCTCGGCCACATCAGAAGAAGAATTGTCTTGGGCCACATATAAAATACACTAACGCTAACGATACTGATGTATTGCAAAACAATCTTATAATATTTTAAGAAAGTTTACGAATTTGCACTGGGCCACATCCAAAGTCATCCTGGGTCACATGTGGCCTGCAGGCTATGGGTTAGACAAGCTTGCATTGAAAGAATCGAGTTGGGTGGTAATGGGGTAAGATTTTCCCATATTGCCAATTGTAGAACCTCGAAAATGGGAAGTTGTCTGGTTCCGCTTCACAACCGTAGTGACTGTGGAGTAACAGCCTTCTGAGAATGCACCTTGCAGGAATGAGAGCAGAGGAGGAAGTTGCACACAAGCACATGCACATATGCACCTGAGGGAACACACCTGTATCTGTCATTCCCCAGGGCTGAGTGGAGCTGCTGCCCGAAGACTAGGCTGCCAGCTGTTCCTCTGGGGTGCGTAGGCCACTTACCCCATCTCCAGAGCCACTCACCCATGGCTGCTGCGGGCCTTGCAGCAGTTCCTGTTTGGGGATGAAGGTAGCCTGTGAAAGTGACAAAGAGGAAGCTGTGGCTGCAACAGTGAGAGCATGGTGTGGGGGGGCCCCCTGCCCTTTGCCCTCTAGTAATGGGATTCTCCTGGGCACCTGTGCAAATGGCTCAGCAGGAGACGGAACGCTCCCTAGTGGAGACCATGGAGTAGGTGAGATCTTCATACTGATTCTCCTTCTCCCTTCTCCTGTTATTGCCCCTTACCCAACAACCTTCCCCGTCCCCTCCACACCCCACCCTTCCCTCCACTGGGGTGCTTGTTTTTGAGTTGGAGTCTCGCTCTGTTACCCAGGCTGGAGTGCAGTGGCATGATCATAGCTTACTGCAGCCTTGAATTCCTGGGCTCAAACAATCCTCCAACCTCATTCCCTTGAGTCACTGGGACTACAGACACAGGCCACTATGCCTCTGTTTTTTTTTTTTTTTTCTTCTAACTTTTGTAGAGACAGGGTCTCCCTATGTTGCCCACACTGGAGATTGGGGCATTTTCACACTGCATTGAAATGACCACCTCCCAAACTGGCCTGTGAGTGTTTTGAAGGTAGGGACTCTTCTCACTGATCTTTGCTTTCCTGATACCTAGAATCATACTGGGTACATAGCAGGCACCTCATAAATATTGGTTGGATGAATAGAAGGATGGAGCTAAAGCAATGAAAGCTGACATATTTCCACCCAAAACAAATGTTCCTCCATTCCAAACTCTCTCCCATTGCCTAGATGTGGCCTCACATCTCAGTCTGCTTTCCAGTGAGTATATTCCTCTGCACACACACAAGCACACCGTGGGAGACACCGGTGTTGTCCTCACTGGTCCTCCTAAACATCCAAATGCATAGCAGCCTGTGAGAACAAGACAAGCCACAGGCCAGGAGAAAATATTTGCAAAACACATGTCTGATGACTGATGTCCAAAATATGCCAAGAACTCTTATACTCAACCATAAGAAAAGAGATGGCCTAATTAGAAAATGAGCAAAAGATCTGAACAGATACTTCACCAAAAAAGATATACAGATGGCAAGTAAGCATAGGTAAAGAGGCTTAACATCAAATGTCATTCAGAAATTATGAATTAAGTCAACAGTGAGATACAACTGCACACTTATTAGAACAGCTCAAATTCAAAACACTGAGAATGTCAAACATACTGAGAAACCAAGAACCCTGAGAACATGCTGGTGAGGATGGGAGCCACAGAAACTCTCATTCATTGCTGATGGGAATGCAACGTGGTGCAGCCACTTCGGAGCACAGTGTGATCATTTCTTGCAAAGCTAAATACAGTCTTGCCATAAGATCCAGCAATCATGCTCCTTGGTATTTACTCAAATGAGTTAAAAACTTACAACTACACAAAAAACTGCACACAGATGTTTATAGCAGCTTTATTCATAATTACCAAAACCTGGAGACAATCAAGATGTCTTTAAGCAGGCGAATGGATAAACAAACTATGGAACACCCAGACAACGGCATGTTATTCAGGGCTAAGACGAAATGAGCTATTGAGCTCTGAGAAGACATGGAAGAAACTTACATGCATATTACTAAGTGAAAGAAGCCAATCTGAAAGGCTACATATTATGTAATTCCACTCTATGACACTGGAAAAGGCAAAACAATAGAGACAGTTAAAAAAAAATCTGTGGTTTTGGGGTAAGGTGGGGTGGGGAAGGGATGACTAGTGGAGCAGAGGGGATTTCTCGGGCAGTGAAACTATCCTGTGTGATACTACAATGATGGCTACATGCCATGATACATTTGTCTAAACCCATAGACTGTGTAACACCAAGGGGAAGCCCTAATGTAAACTTTGGACATTAGTTAGTAATAATGTATCAATATGGGCTCATTGATTTGAAAATGTATACCACACAAATGCAAGATAATAATAGAGGCTAAGGAGTGTATGGAGAACTCTCTCTACTTCCTGCTTGATTTTTTCTGTCAGCACAAAATAGTTCAAAAAATAAAGTCTAGGCTGGGTGCAGTGGCTCATGCCTGTAATCCTAGCACTTTGGGAGGCCAAGGCGGGCAGATCACCTGAGGTCAGGAGTTCAAGACCAGCCTGGCCAACATGGTGAAACCCCACCTCTACTAAAATACAAAAATTAGCCAGGCATGATGGCAGGTGCCTGTAATCCCAGCTACTTGGAAGGCTGAGGCAGGAGAATCGCTTGAACCCAGGAGACAGCAGTTGCAGGAAGCCGAGATCATGCCACTGCACTCCAGTCTGGGTGGCTGAGCAAGACTCCGTCTCAAAATAAATAGGTTGGGCGCAGTGGCTCACGCCGGTAATCCCAGCACTTTGGGAGGCCGAGGCGGGCAGTTCACGAGGTCAGGAGATCCAGACCATCCTGGCTAACACAGTGAAAACCCATCTCTACTAAACATACAAAAAATTACCCGGGCGTGGAGGCGGGCACCTGTAGTCCCAGCTACTCGGGAGGCTGAGGCAGAAGAATGGCGTGAACCCAGGAGGCGGAGCTTGCAATGAGCCGAGATCGCACCATGGCACTCCAGCCTGGGTGACAGAGCAAGACTCTGTCTCAATAAATACATACATACATACATACATACATACATACATACATACATACATACAGTCTGTTACAGAGAGAGAGTGGGCAGCCCCTGCCACCTTATTATTTGGCCTATAAACACATCAGGATATTCGCAATAACACGTTGCTGCTGGGATCATTAGCATCAAATATTTGCACATCAAGGGTCTTCTGTGTGCCCTGGGACACCCAGGGGCGAGAGCAGAGAGGTGCAGCAGGTCAGTCTGGTGGGACCTTCATTTCCAACCCACTCTCTTCAGTCTGGTCAGCTCAGGGTCTGCTCCTGGCCCTGTCGTTGCCCCTGACAAGGAGGCTATAGGAACACCATGGACTTTCCAGTCCCATTGTAAAGCACTTGAATCTCTTAGCAAATCAGGTGGCTGTTTACAGCAGCTCCTGCTTCCCCCTGAATACGTCTCCTTCACCTTCTCTGGGGCTTTCCAGCCCTGCTCTTGGTGAGGAAGCTCTGGGAAGAGAGAACCAGTCTGTGCTCTGCTCCACCCAGAGGCCTTGAATTGACTTTTTAAACTATGCACGTATAACTTATAACTGTCCTTTTTTTTTTTTTTTTGAGATGGAGTTTCACTCTTGTCACCCAGGCTGGAGTGCAATGGCGCTATCTCAGCTCACTGCAACCTCCACCTCCCACGTTCAAGTGATTCTCCTGCCTCAGCCTCTCAAGTAGCTGGGATTATGGGATTGTGCCACCACGCCCGGCTAATTTTGTATTTTTTAGTAGAAACGGGGTTTCTCCGTGTTGGTCAGGCTGGTCTCGAACTCCTGACCTCAGCTAATCCACCTGTCTTGGCCTCCCAAAATGCTGGGATTATAGGCGTGAGCCACCGCACTCGGCCAACTGTCCTTAGATGTTTAAAACACAGTGAAATGAAACACAAAATCAAAGGTTTTGTTTTGGGGCTGGAGACAAAAGAGCTGGAATTATTGAAGATGCAGGATGGAGCTGGTCCCCAGGGTCCCCGGACCATGCAGAGGACTGCACCAGCCATATTAGTTCACTCAGGCTGCCATAACAAAGTACCACCGACTGGGCAGCTGAAACAACAGAAATGTATTCTCCCACAACCCTGAGGCTGGAAGTCTAAAATCAAGGTGTCTGCAGGGTTGGCTCCTCCTGAGGGTATGATGGGGAATCTGTTCCAGGCCTCTCTCCTTGGCGTGTCTCTGACTGTCTTTATCTTCATATGGTATTCTCCCTGTATGCTGTTTGCCTCCAAATTTCCCCCACTTTTAAAATAGGGTACCAGTCATATTGGATTAAGGTCCACCCTTAAGACCTCATTTCAACTTGATTATCTCTACAAAGACCATATCTCCAAAGAAGGTCACATTCTGAGGTCCTGGGTGTTGGGACTTCAATACGGGAATTTGGGGTGGGGAAGCAACATAATTCAACCCCTAACACCCAAGCATCCAACGACTGCAGGGAGAAGCTCTTACAGGGAAGGAAACACCAAGTCGCCAGTGTCCTGGGAGATGCAAAGAGCACAGAGCCTCTCTGGTTACCTCAAGAAAAGGATTATGGGAGCTCCAGGAAAATTAGGATAGCAGAGCTCAGGGCCACGGGCTCAGAAGGCTCCTGGCTTTCCGCAATGAGCAGGGTTCACTCTGCCTCCTGCCACTCAGCTCTCCTTCCCTCTCCTTCTGCACAGCCCGGCTCCCCACTGGTTTCTGCCCCAAGTCTTACCTCCTTGGATCAGCCATCCTTCCCCCTGGCCCGATGCACAATGGCTGGGGTTGGGAGGGAAGCAGGAGGAGAGTTACGGAACAAAGCGTGGCTGCTCCAGACAAGGGGCCACAGCAGGCAACACGCAGCAGCTGGACAATCGGCCAGTGTGGCCAGCGTCCCCGACAGACGGCAGGGGCAGCTCTGGGGAGGCTGGTAATGGCTATTGTAAATCAGTTGCTTTGAAGTGATTGACTACATTGTACATCAGTGGGAATTGTGGATTTAATTGGCTAACACCTGCCATGCAAAAGCCATCTTAGAAGCAGCCACTTTTCCTTGTAAGTGTGGCTGTGGGTCTCTGAGAAGACACCCCATCCTGCATCAGACCTTCACACTCCTGCCAAGAGCCAGTCTGGGGACCCAGGGGTGGTGGCAGTGTTGGCCACTGTTTCCAGGGCTTCTTTAAAAGGAAAACAGGCTGGGAGTGGTGACACACACTTGTAATCTCAGCACATTGGGAGGCTGAGGCAGGCAGATCGCTTGAGGCCAGGAGTTTAAGACTAGCCTGGGCAACATGGCAAAACCCCATCTCTACCAAAAAAAAAAAAAATACAAAAATTAGCCAGGCATAGTGGCGCACACCTGTAGTCCCAGCTATTCAGGGGGATGAGGCAGGAGGATTGCCTGAGCCCAGGAGGTCAAGGCTGCAGTGAGCTATGATTGTGCCACTGCACTCCAGCCTGGGTGACAGAGTGGGACACTGTCTCAAAATAAAAAAAGGGAAAGCAGATGGGCCACAGGTCTAGGTGTATCCACCCAGCTGGGTGGGAGTCCACAGCGCTGCTGGCAGGTTCCTGAATCACATCTACATTATCACTGAACAGAGCTAAATAAACGAAATGACACCGAGGGCCTGAAAGAAAGCCTGGCTGAGGCCGGGCACAGTGGCTCAAGGCTAGGCATGGTGGCTCAAGGCCGGGCACGGTGGCTCACGCCTGTAATCCCAGCACTTTGGGAGGCTGAGGCAGGTGGATCACCTGAGGTCAGGAGTTCGAAACCAGTCTGGACAACATGGAGGAACCCTGTCTCTACTGAAAATACAAAAATTAGCTGGGCGTGGTGGCACGCACTTGTAATCCGCTACTCGGGAGACTGAGGCAGGAGAATCGATTGAACCCAGGAGGCAGAGGTTACAGTGAGCTGTGATCGCACCATTTGCATTCCAGCCTGGGTGACAAAAGCAAAACTGTCAAAAAAAAAAAAAAAAAAAAAAGCCTGATCGATCTTTGGGATTTAAGAGCCTTGTTCTGGTGACTGGGCACAGAGGGAACAGCGTGGCTCCTGTCTGTTCATGAAGGAGTTTATTTTGCTTGGCAGACATGATGGCCCTGGGTATCAACAGGTGGGTGTGCTCACTTGTAAATGAGACTTCCTGCCCAGGGGTAAGCCAACTTATGTTATTTTAGGATAATTCTATTTAATTAATATAAATATTTAATACCTCACCTCTTCCCAAAATGAATTGGAGATAGCAACCCATATCTTAAAGGAACTTGATGTTCTGTATGATAAGGAGTTCTGTGTTCTGGAATACTTCATCAAAAGACTGAAACATTTTCACATTAGGTTCCTTTGACCCTGGCCTGAAAGGGAAAGTGGTAAATGAAAGGAAACAGGCGTAAGCAAAACAAACTTGGAGAGAGGACTTGGAGAGCCTGAAGAGTTGGGGAGGGAAGGTCTGCCTTGGGCATCTCTCCCCAGTGGACTGTGTGACTCCAGGGGAAGAGTAGATCATGGAACTCCCCCTGTACAGACCAGAAGCTGGACATCAAGGTTGAAGACCATTGTTAACAATGTTTTTTACCTGTTTTTTGTGATCATCCTAGCTACGAGCTTAGTGGTTTAGGACTCCGAGTCCTAAGCTCTTCCTGCCATTGCTATGCCCCAGTGATACCACTGCAGAATAATACCTCTGTTTGAAAAAGTAAGAAGTTGTCGGTCATGCATTTCATTTTTATAGAACTCTTTCACACAAGCAAAGAAGAAACTGATGTCCTCCCCCAGGGCCAATGTATCATCAGCTCACTTGTTAACAAGTCCTTTAAAAATGTAAAAAGACTACCTTCTTAGTGAGTTGGCAATTTTAGCAAGGGCTTAACTAGTGATTAGACTCCCTTTGCCATACTGTTTTATTCATTTGCTACTCAAAGATTCACCCAGGGCTTATAGAGGACTGATACAACTTTCCAGCTATTAAATTCCCCATAAGTTGTATTGTTAACTTTACAAGAATACAAGAATGAAACCCACATGTCCTCGCTGTGCAGAGCCAGCAGAATCTGACTCCATAGGGTTTACAGGCGACACTTAGTGGAGAGCCGCATTCCCTACTTGGCAAACACAGCATCAGTGGGAAGGTTCACAAGGTCAGGGAGGAAGATCAATCATCTCTCGCTGTAAAGTTCTCTATGGACCAGGTGCTGGTGGCTCACACTTGTAATCCCAGCACTTTGGGAGACCAAGGCGGGGGGATCGCTTAAGGCCGGGAATTGAGACAAGCCTGGGCAACATAGATCCCATCTCTACAAAAAAAAATTGTTTTTTAATTAGCCAAGTGTGGTGGCACGCGCTTGTAGTCCCAGCTACTTGGGAGGCTAAAGCAGGAGGATCACTGGAGCCCAGGACTTCGAGGCTGCAGTGACCTATGGGTCCACCACTGCACTCCAGCCTGGTTAACAGAGCAAGACACTGTCTCTAAAAAAAGAAAATTCTTGGCCGGGCACAGTGGCTCATGCCTGTAATCCCAGCACTTTGGGAGGCTGAGGAGGGTGGATCATGAGGTCAGGAGTTCGAGACCAGCCTGAACAACATGGTGAAATCCCGTCTCTACTAAAAATACAAAAATTAGCCAGGCGTGGTGGCGCATGCCTGTAATCCCAGCTACTCGGGAGGCTGAGGCAGGAGAATCGCTTGAACCTGGGAGGCAGAGGTTGCAGTGAGCTGAGGTCGAGCCATTGCACTCCAGCCTGGGCAACAGAGTGAGACTCTGTCTCAAAAAAAAAAAAGAAAGAAGAAAGAAAATTCCCTATTGAGCAACTTCTCTGTTCCAGACACTGTGTCAGGTATCATGGAGGATGCAGAGACTGTGCAACTTGGTCCCTGACTACTTTAGGACAAGGAGGAAAGCACGAGGACTTAAACGAAAACACGAGGCAGAGGAGCATGCTAACCATACGGCTCTGCCAACACTAAGAAAAATCCATCACTTCTCCAAGGTTGAATTCCAGTGAGGCAGTTTGTCCAGCAACTGTACATTGCCATCTTTTGTTTGTTTGTTTGTTTGAGAAAGAGTCTCACTCTGTCACCAAGGCTGGAGTGCAGTGGTGCGATCATAGCTCACTGCAGTTCTCAACCTCCCAGGCTCAGGTGATCCCTCTCACCTCAGCCTCCCAGGTAGCTGGGACTACAGGCATGCGTCACCATCCCCAGCTAATTTTTTGTATATTTAGTAGAGACAGTGTTTCACCATGTTGCCCAGGCTGGTCTCAAACTCCTGGGCTCAAGCAATCCTCCCACCTCGGCCTCCCTAAGTGCTGGGATTGCAGATGTGAACCACCATGCTTGGCCTACGTTGTCATTTATAATGCACATTCCAGCCCTGGCTCTTCACCCCTTCTCTATAAACAGCAAACCACAGCCCTGTTGGAAGTTCTCACGGGAAAGCAGCTAGCGGAGTGTGGGGCCTCAATTGTGTGCCCTTTAAAGAACCTCCACTTATTAACCTCAAACATGAAGTTATTATTGAAAAGGAGAAGACAGACTGCCTGCCTTAACCAAGGGTTGTGTTTGCAGGGTTCCTTTCTGGGAGCTGCAATCAATAACCAAGACCTGGTTCTAGAGGGCAGTAGTGACACACCCATTCCAAATTGCAGACAGTCCAAAATTACCAGACCCAGGGCTCAGCCCTTTCAGAAGGACACAGTGGGCAGCATAGAAATAGAAGATGAGTCGAGCCCACTCTGCCGATTGCAGGTCACGAAATTACCAGATGATGCACTGAAACAGGGCATCAAAACCAGGCGAACAGGGGGAGCTTGGAGTAGGAGACTCACTCTTCACCTGGTCATAGAAGGCGGGGAGTCCCTAGCCTGGTCATGGGGTAATGAAAGCTTGTGCAAGGAACACTGTGTGAAATATTATGCAAAACTCTTCCGCCAAACGAAATGCTGCAAAGGACTTCTCTCCAGACGGAAAATGGAACTAAACCTAGTATCGCTTAGGGTGGAAGTCCAATTCACAAAAACTCCCTTGGTGCTCTTCTGGACACTACAAAATTAGCCCCGCCCACAGGTCCACCCTACAACTGGGTCTGAGTCCAGACTCACAGGCAAGTTCAAGCATGTGGGGCCATCTTTGCCCCACTCAGTGCCCTTTCTGTATACTCAGTGCAAACAAGAGTTTTCGTAAGCAGACCGCCTCCAGAGTTTGAAAACCATTCATCGTCAGATCTTAGGCCAGACTTCCAATTTAGGGCACTTTGCCCTCAGCCTCCGTGTGGTTTCTTTTTTTTTACAGGCCTCAACTGTGAGAAGATCCGTTCTCACCACCCCTCAGTCCCTCTGCGCTTTGCTCTTGTCCTACCAGCACCCTTCCCCTGCCAAAGATGCCCCTCCCCACTTCCTTACTCTCCCCCAGCCTCTGTGCCGGCCCCAGAACATGAGTACATGTGTGAGTGAGCACATGCGTGTGTGCCTGAGTGCACATGCATATGTGTGTGTGTATGTATGTGTGTGTGTGTGTGTGTGTGTGTAGGTATGTGTGTGTGTGTGTGTATGTATGTGTGTGTGAAGCTGCCCCTGAGGTAGAATC
Source organism: Homo sapiens (assembly GCF_000001405.40). NCBI lineage: Eukaryota > Metazoa > Chordata > Mammalia > Primates > Hominidae > Homo > Homo sapiens. The sequence continues at coordinate 235,945,743 of NC_000001.11, read as the reverse complement.
TGGTAGATGGGGCAAGAATTCATTTATTCAACTCAATTGATTAGGCACTTACTATGTGGGGAGATACAACAGTAAAAAGACAAAAATCTGGCCGGGTGCAGTGGCTCACACCTGTAATCCCAGCACTCTGGGAGGCCAAGGTGGGTGGATCATGAGGTCCGGAGTTTGAGACCAGCCTGGCCAACATGGTGAAACCCCATCTCTACTAAAAATAAAAAATTAGCCGGGCTTGGTGGCGTACTCCTGTAATCCCAGCTACTCAGGAGGCTCAGGCAGGCAGGAGAATCGCTTGAACCCGGGAGGCGGAGGTTGCAGTGAGTCGAGATCATGCTACTGCACTCCAGCTGGGGTGATAGACAGAGACTCTGTCTCAAAAAAAAAAAAAAAAAAAAAGACAAAAGGCCCTGCCCTCCTAGTGGGTGATGGCCCCTAGGAGCTGTGCGTTGCTAAGCAGGCCAGGGAGACAACTCTAGGATACCAGCAAGGGCCGCCTCCACAAAACCAGAGAGAGGCCAGCTTGTATGCCTCTGGGCGGTGCTGTCACCCCACTCCCATCCCATCCCAGTGAGGTGCTCTCCTTCCCCTCGGCGCTCCTCTGTGGAAGCATTCTTTCTCCCATAGGTATTTGCAGTCTGTGAGGACCAAAGCCTGTGGCAATCTCAACATCACCTGTAGAAAGTTTTTCTTTTAGGGGGAGGTTGTAGCGGGAGGTTGTGGGGGGACAGAGTACATTTTCCAGGCCGTCACAGATCCTGAACTTAGGACTGGCCTCTTTCCTTCAGTAGCCACGTTGGCTCTGTGTCCAGGAGAACAGTCACTGTAGATCCACGGAATGGCTGTCGTGTGTCTCTGTTCACTACCGTGGAACGCAGGGGGTCCCAGGAAGGTGAGAAAGCCAGGGCTGGGTGTTGGGCTGAGCATGGGGGAAGGAAGAGAGCTGGAAATTACTGTCGATCAGGTAGGGCAGTGAAGGAGGCTGGCAAAGTTGGTTAAGGTAGGAGGATGCAGGTACTCAAAGGTCACAGAATCACCGGAAAATGATATTCATTGAGTTCACTTGTCACTGTGTTTGCTCATGGGAGGTAGTAGAGAGAGCACACTGAGATGGCTTCCCATTCAAATCCTCCTCCTGTTCATCTCCAGCTGCGTGTCTCCTGATGAATTATTTAACCTCTCCGGGCCTCCTTTTGCTCATTTGGAAAATACTTTTAATTGATACTTATTTTAGAAGGAGGTTGTAGAGATAATGAATAGGAAGGGCAGGGCACATTGAACAAGTTTCATAAATAATATGCACCATAATCATGGCACTTAATTCTTATAGCAAGTCTTAAAGGTTTATCTCCTAGGAGGAATTTTAGAGATCTTCCAGTTCAGCGGTTTTCGAACTTTGGCCTGCATCAGAACCTCCTAGATAGCACGTGTGTTAAAACACAGATTTCTGGGATCCACTCCCAGAGGCACTGGTTCAGTAGGTCTGGGTTGGGACCAGAGAATGTGCATTTCTAACTAGTTCCAGGGCGATGCTGAGGTCGCTGGTCTGGGGACCACACTTTGAGAACCACTGTGCTAGCCTAAATTCCTCATTTTGCAGAGGACGGTCCTGAGGTTCAATCCTGTTAGCTCCTTCCCCATGGTCAATAGAGTCAGCCTCCCAGATCCAGGTCCAGGCCAAGGTCAGGAGATCCAAGCTGGGAGACAGGAAAACAAAGTACAGCATTCAGGAAATGTGAGGATGCAAAAAGCCACACTCCAGGCAATGAGCCCCAGGGACGGACCCAAGGTTCCAGCGAGAGGAATGATCTTAGCAGACAGCAAACCATTGCTGTGCTCCGGAAGAGAACTGGCCTCAGTGAGGTCCTGAGCCACAACAGTCCACGTGTCTGGCCTCAGGGAGCATGTGTGTGTCAGGGATGGGGGGATAAGGATTGTGTGGGTGACACAGGAGGGTGAGAACCGAGTGTAAGTGCATCTGTGTGTGTGAGTGCTTCTGTGTGTCAGTGTTTTTGGGTGAGGGTGTGTATTAGTACGTGTGTGAATATGTGAGCTTGTGTGAGTGTGTATGTCAGTCTGCTTGGGTATCATCACGATGCGTCACACACAGCGTGGCTTAAACCACAGGAATTTATTAGTTTACAGTCTGGAGGCTGGAAGGCCAAGATCATGGTATTGAAATGGTAAGGATGGTAAGTTATATATGTATATTTTATCTCAACTAAAAAGACGAATAATTTTTTTAAAAGATCATGGTGTTGGCAGGGTTGGTTTTTCCTGAGGCCTCTCTCCTGGGCTTGCAGATGGCTGTCTTTTCCGTGTCCTCACAAGGCCTTCTCTTTGTGCGTGTTCATGTCCTGATCTCCTCTTTGCATAAGGACACTGGTTAGACTGGATTAGGACTCACCCTCAAGATCTCATTTTGATATAATTACCTCTTTAAGAATCTATTTCCAAATAAGGTTGCATTCTGAAGGACTAGGGATTAGGGACTCAGCATATAAATTTGGGAAGGGGATGAGATTCAGCCCATAACAGCACATGTATACATGTGCACATGTGCATGTGTGTGTACGTGTGTACGTGTATGTGCATGTGTGTGATGGGCCCGGGAGCATGAAGAAGGTGCTTTACAGAAGGCCTGGTAATGTTGGGGAATACCTTGGTGACATCTTTCCCAGCAAGAGTTCTGGCAGATAAGAAATCTGACTTTCTTCTAGCCTCATCCTGGGTTTGTGAGTTTATGAAGAAGCTGAAGAGCTCCATCACTTCCCAGCTAAACATAGCTCTTCAGATCTCAGGGTTTAAGATGATTTCCTCCTAAGTCAACGCAGCATTTTGCCTCCATTCAAGCAACCCCTTGCTCCAAGCATCGTGATGTGACAGTGCAGCGTTCACCGGCCCACCCCAGCTGATCTGCCCTATGGCACAAGAATAACAATTGGAAAAACTTGGCTTCCCTCCGAGAGCAATGCCAGCTTTGCCCAGGCCAGCCATCTCTGGCATAACTCTGTTCATTTGAGCTTTCCTCATGTGTGATCATCCTTGTATGACCCCGAGGCCAGAATCCCCACTTATTAAAGCTAGGAAAGACATTTTTGAGGCTCTAGTTAGTTTGTTCTTTCATAGTGAAAGAACCATTTGTGGGCTCAAAGGGGGATGTGGCAATAGGTTATTTCGGGCTTTCGAAAGGCCTGTTTTCCATCTGGAATGGATGTATTACCTAATAGGCCATCCTTTATAGGAACTGAACAAAGACTCGCTGACACAATCTCAACGGTTGGCCGTTCTTGGGACAGCTAGACAATTATTTTGCTTCTGGGTACAACAAGCACAAAAGAAGGGGCCAAGGTACACGCAGACCTTAGTTTGAGTTGGAGAAGGCCTGAGGGATAAACCATCAGGAAAGCTCATGAGTTTTCAGAAGCTTCTGGGGCCATCAGGTTGATACCAGCGTGGATGCACCAGGCTGAGGGCTGATGAACCACAGGGCGGTAAATACAGGGCCCAGCCCAGGGCCTAGGGACAGTTCCCGCCCACTAAATGTTTGTTGATCAAATGACTGATTGGAGGAATGAAAAATATTATTTAAAGGAAGGCAAGTGTGTGAGCCAGGCGGGAAAGAGAGGGCTGGACGTGATGGAGAGAGGTTATAACCAGCTTCCTCTAGAAGGCTCATTGCAGCAACCACATGGCCTTTGAGAAAAGCTTTTCATCAGGAGACGCCTCAGTCTGCCTAAAGTTATGTGTTAAGTGTCCATTGTATGCAAAACAGTGGGAGGCAAATAAAAGAAGTCCTTTAGAAAATTTCCATTTCCTGCTTATATTTCATACAGAAAAACATAATTAAAGCTATAGACATAAGGAAAAAGACTGGAAGAAAAATGGAAAAATAATAGTAATTGTACCGGGGTCGTGGGATGATGGCTAAATTTATTTTCTCTTCCTGAGTTTCTATAATGCTCTTTCTTGGCTTTAACATCAAAATAGGGATTCAAAGAATCATGATTGTCTGCAGTTGTGATCGCTGCAGTCAACTCAGGACAGGGGTGCCTTTCCTGGAACCCATAGCTCAATTCAGAGGGTGGGGGGTTTGGTAACAGTGGAGCAAAGACCCCAGCAAGGCAAACCTGAGCCATTCTTGGGACAGGGTTGGTCTTGATGGGGCCACATCTCCACATGGTATCCCCCACTTAATTTGCTCCAATACCCCCAAAACCCGGCTTCGTTTTTTCGCTCCTCTTTATCCTTTTTCCCTTGCTCATTCATTCATCAAACAACTATCAAGCTCCTTCCTATGAACAATGAGTCCCATCAAGCCCTGGGAATACGTAGAATGAGAATCAGGTCCTGGGCTCACCACTTGCAGAGGAAGCAGATATTTAAACAAATGGAGCCAGGCACGGTGGCTCATGCCTGTAATCCCAGCACTTTGGGAGGCCGAGGTGGGCGGATCACCTGAGGTCAGGAGTTCGAGACCAGCCTGGCCAATATGGTGAGACCCCCCGCCGTCTCTATTAAAAATACAAAAAAGATCTGGGTATGGTGGCGGGCATCTATAATCCCAGCTACTCAGGAGGCTGAGGCAGGAGAATTGTTTGAACCCAGGAGGTGGTGGGTGCAGTGAGCTGAGATCACGCCACTGCACTCCAGCCTGGGCAACAGAGTGAGACTCCATCTCAAAAATAAATAAATAATAAAAAAACAAGTGAAGACAGAACAGGAACAGTGGAAGAGCCAACAGGCTCTCAGTGCCAGGAATCTGAGCATCAAGGAAGGGAGGCTTCCTGAAGGTAGCTGATATGTTTGATGATAGATGGTAGATGATATGTTTGAAGTGAGTCCCAAAGAAAAGGTAGGAACGCAAATAGGAAAAGACTTTCTGCAAAGAAGGAAATCTGTTTGCAAAGGTACAGCTCCAGAAATGCACAGTGGGTCATACACATTGTTTTTAGGAGGAACTGTGAGGTCATCAGTCTGGAGCCAAGGGTGCAAGGTGAGAGGGGAACATGAGTAGGCACAGCCAGGCATTGAAGGGCCTCGTCTACCCTACAAAGGTGTGTGGACTTATCCTACAGACATTGAGTTGCCTGAGTATTAAAGTAGCATGAAGACATGGTACCATTGGTTTTATAGCCAGAGAATTCTGGTAGCCATAAGTAGGGCAGGGAAGTGGGACCAAGGGCCAGAAGCGTGATGATGAAACCGGGTTGGGTGGTGGGGTGGTGAAAGCCTAAGCTACGTACCCAGCAGTGAGTGTCGACATGATACTGCAGTGCTGTGACTTGCAGGTCAGTTGGGAGGAGAATGAGGGTGGGGAAGCCAACGGGTTGATCTCTTCGCTCTGCCAGCACCAAGTTCTGGGTGCTCATCCACTCCCTGACCCACAGCTCTTTGCTGTCTAATGTACCCAGCACCTTGCAGCCACACTAACCTTCCCCAGGCAGTGTCATCTCATCCCTGTTCTCCCCAACCACCTTGTAGAGCATAATTGCATAAAGGTTAAATTCCCCCTTCATTTTTAAAAAATTAAATTATTTATACATTTTTAAAGCTATCTTTTGTTTTAGAGATAGAGGCTCACCCTGTCACCCAGTCTTGAGAGCAGTGGCACGATCACAGCTCACTGCAGCCTCAACCTCCTGGACTCAAGAGATCCTCCACTTCAGCCTCCCAAATAGCTGGGACCACAGGTGTCCACCACCATGCCCGGCTAATTTTTTAAATTTTTTGTAGAGATAGGGTCTTGCTATGTTGCCCAGGTTGGTCTCGAACTCCCAGACTCACATGATCCTCCAGCCTCAGCCCCTCAAAATGCTGGGATTACAGGGGTGAGCAACCACACCTGGCCAAAATCCTCTTTTAATGGCTACATTCCAAGTCCCCTATTCAGCCTTCACGCTCAGTATTTCCTAGTGTGAAATACCTCCACCCAAGACACCCTGTTATGTCCTCACAGAACCTGCCATTTCTGCACTGACACTCTGTCCTCACAGTGTCTCCAAGGGCTGCCCTCCTCTACCTGTGTGAATGAAATACATCCTCCAAGGCTCACCTCCCCTGTGAAACCTCCCCCACCAGGGTTCCTCATAGAAAGCTCTCCCTCTGCTGATTCCTATGGCATTTTTTCCTGACACTCTACCACTCTTGTTTTGCACTGTTACTTACATGTTTTGAACATGTGTCATGGCTCACAGAATAACGTAAGCTCTTTGTGGGAGAGAAGCCATGAGTATCTCTCAGAAGCCAGTATAAAGCTCCCTATATAGTAGGAGTCAGTAGATATTGATTGACTGTCAGTCTGTCTATCGAGAGGCTTATCAACAGTACCTGTCACTCTGCTGTCATCAGTGTGACTGGTGTGCAGTACTGAGAACGGGCCCTGGTCCGAAGCCTCTGCCATTTATCATAAACTCATGACCTCAGGCCAGTCACTTAACCTCTCTGGATCTTCATTTCCTTATCAGTAAGACGGCAAAGTTAGAGGAATCAATGGTGGTTAATTCCTTTCCACTTTTTTTTGATCATAGGACTTCCTTTCAAATGTGGACCTGCTTGTGTGCAGTACATGACGGAAAAGCTGCTAGGAACCCAGCCTTCTCCTCCCCCCTCCTTCTCCTCCTCCTCCTCCTCCTTCCCTTCAATCCACTGTAGACTTAGAAAAAAACCTGAAAACTCCCACACTGGGTGGTTCCTTCTAAGACTCAACACCTGCATGGTTACAGGATAACAAAGATGACCAGTCTCATGGCTCTAGGTCTGGGCACTGCTATGTCTACATAGGACTATGGCAGGATCTAGGCTAAGGGCTTGGTCAAACCCACGCTCACTAATTATAGAGAAGTAGTTACTGCAAAATTTCCCGAGGAAACCAAAGCTAGGGTTTGGTTTCCACTTAGATTGAGCAACTTCCTTCCAGGGCACTCAACCTTCTCAGCAAAACATTCTCTTTTAATACAGGCAGTCCAATAATGCACAAGGGTTGTGATTGTGCATTTGACATAAACATATAAATGCACCTTCAGGAGGAAGCTGGGCCCCTGGTTATTCACTCTGGTGGTGGTGTTTACGTGAGGCACTGTCCACTTTAATCATCTTAAAAATTTAGAACAGGTTGAGGTCACGACTCACGGCCAGTATGGCAGCAAGGGACAGCTAAGCGTATACTGTGAGATTTGAAGTAAATAGGTGGCTCTCACCTGTAATCCAGCACTTTGGAAAGTCCAAGCGGGAGGACTTCTTGAGGCCACGAGTTTGAGAGCAGCCTGGGCAACACAGGGAGATCTTGTCTCTACCAAAAATATTTAAAAACTAGCCAGACATACTGGGGTGCTTCTGTAGTCCCAGCTACTCAAGTAACTGAGGTGGGAGGATGGCTTGAGCCCAGGAGGTTGAAGGTGCAGTGAACTGTGATTACGCCACGGCACTCCAGCCTGGGTGACAGAATGAGACCCTGTCTCTAAGAAAAATTAAAAATAAAGGCTGGGCGCGGTGGATCATGCCTGTAATCCCAGCACTTTGGGAGGCCGAGGTGGGTGGATCACAAGGTCAGGAGATTGACACCATCCTGGCTAACACGGTGAAACCCCGTCTCTACTAAAAACACAAAAAATTAGCTGGGCATGGTGGCGGGCGCCTGCAGGCCCAGCTACTCGGGAGGCTGAGGCAGGAGAATGGCGTGAACCTGGGAGGCAGAGCTTGCAGTGAGCCGAGGTCGCGCCACTGCACTCTACCCTGGTCAAAAGAGTGAGACTCCATCTCAAAATAAAATAAATAAAATAAAATAAAATAAAATAGAAATTAATAGTATTACCTCAAGTGACAGAGGATGTTTCACATTTCACTTGTAGCCACCTAAAAATAATTTAAAATCACACTAAAGGGATCTAAGACTTTCATTGCCTGAATCCTCCTTTTCAAAATTGTGTCTCCTCTAAAGGATATCTTAGGCTCCTCTCCTTCCTCCAGCCAACGTCAACCTGCGCCCAGCAGGCTGGGCAGGAAGCTCAGTGTCTTCATCCCAGCCAATCTCTGAAGAGAAACTGGAAACGTTTCCGGTTAACTAAGCCAGTTGCTCCAAAAAGGCCCCCATTCCTGGGTCACTTTCTTCTGACCTGTTCCTAAGTGAAGTTGGCACTGGTTTGGGGTAGATGGGCTGCAAGAACTGTTTTCAGATTTCCCAGACCTCGCTCTCTCCTTTTTGTAAACACCTTGACCTAAATTTCCCATCCACTGCTTGCTGGTCAGCACTGCATTTACAATTTCCAACTTCAGCTGTTCCTAAAGGAACAACTGGGGTCCAAGATAGCGCATCGGACCTATCTGCCTTAAACAGTAGGGTTCCTGTTCTCTCCTCTGGGGTGGTTGTCACAGGAACTCATGGCAACCAGATCTTCCCCAACAGAGCAGCTTCTCAGAGTGGTGGGTGGTTATCGGGGCCAGGCAGAGGCTATGCTGTTGTATATAGTGATGCCTCTGGGGGATTCACAACGAAAGAACCATGAGTGGGTGTGTGGGTGTGTGTAGAGACAGAGGGAGATGAGACAGAGAGAGTGCCAAGAGACTTTTGTCACGGTAGCCAGGAATGGGCTATTTTGGGTTATTTTGAGTTGGAATCTCACTCTGTCACCCAGGCTGGAGTGCAGTGGTGCCATCACAGCTTACTGTAGCCTCGAATTCCTGGGCTCAAGCAATCCTCCCACCCCAGCCTCCCAACTGGCTAGGACTACAGGCTCACAGCACAGGCACGGTGGCTGTGCCACGGTGGAGTTCAAGACCAGCCTGAGCAACATAGTGAAAACTCATCTCTACAAAAAATACAAAAATTAGGTGTGGTGGCATGCACCTGTAGTCCCAGCTATTTGGGAAGCTGAGGCAGGAGGATAGCTTGAGCCCAGGAGGTGGAGGTTGCAGTGATCCAAGATGGCACCACTGGACTCCAGCCTAAGTGAGAGAGCCAGACCCTCTCTCAAAAAAAAAAAAAAAAAAAAAATCCCAGCTCTTCCACTTACTGGCTATAAGACCTTGCTGATTTAAGATATTCAGCTTCTTGGAGCCAAAGTTTCCCCATCTGTAAAATGGGGATGACAATAATAATACCTACCCGATAGGGTGGCTTTGATGATTACACAATGTAATACGTATAAACTGCCTGGCACATTGCAAAGCACTGTGTGTGTTAGCCGTTGCTTTTATTACGCTACACCTGTCTCCATGGTTTTACCCCTGACTTTAACATGAACATTTTTTAAAAACTTATTTTGAAAGAATTTTAACCTTACAGAAAAGTTGCAAGAATAATACAATGAACTCCATATACTCTTTGGATTCACTGATTGTTAATATTTTGCCACGTTTGCTTTATCTCCCTCTCTTTTTTCTTTCTCTTACTCTCTATATACCATCATTATAGTTATCATTTTTGCTAACCTATTTAAGGGTTAAGTTATGGGTATTTTGACCCTTTACCTCTAAGAACAAGGAGGTTCACTCATGTAACCACAGTAAAATGATCATATTCATGAAATGTACCACTAATACAATACCATGATTAAATACACAATCCAACTCAAATTTCCCCAACTGACTCCATTATAATGCCTTTTAAAGAATTGTTCTTCCCTGTTCTGGGATCCAACCCAGAATCACATGTTGCGTGCAGTTGCCAGGTCACATGAGTCTCCTTTAATCTGGAATAGCTCCTCAGCCTTGCTTTGTCCTTCGCGCTGAGCCATTTTTGAAGAATGCAGAGTGTGTAGATGCCCCTCATCTGGGCATGTCTGATTTTGCTCCTTGTGATCCCGTTCAGATTATGCACTTCTACAGAAGGCTACACAAGTCCTGTCTTCCTCAGCGCATCCTGCTGAGAGGCGCATGATGTTCGTTTCCATCTGTGGGGAGATACTTTGACACTATAAACATCCTGTACCTCACACACCTGCACCCAGCAGCTTCTAGACAGATCGGTAAGCTGTGCACTCCATGGCACCGGTGCTGGGCACCTGGAGTTTGGCCGCCCGGGCCCTCAGCCCCGAGCCCTCCCGCCCTTCCTGTGCTTCCTCCCATTTTGCTACACTCCTCCCTGCCTTTCAGGACGGGGCCTCCTTCTCATGCCCCTTCCCCACCAATCGCAGGGACTCCGTAAATTGACATTTGAATGTCAGATTGAAATTAATAAAAAATGCGTGACCTAAGGTCTGCATATCTTTTCAGGGTAAGTGCTTCAGCAAAAGTTTTTTGGACAAGGATTTTGTTTATAGTTCACAAGGGTCGGGCCTCAAAGGACATAAATATTCTATCTGCCTAAGGGCAATTCAGACTGAAAAAAAACAAAACAAAACCCTGAAATGGTGTGGAGGAGGGAGGGAGAAAAGAGAATTAAATATGCATATACCTCGCAAGCCCGCCACCCTCCTCCATATGGTGTCTATGTAGCAGGCGGTAAAAGACCACCCTGTTAGAGAAAGCGATAACGTAGAATGTGGTGGACAGATACTCAGGCACTTATTCTATATTGACCAAGAACCTATCATGGGCTGGTACTGCTCCTACTCTAAGAGCTGTGGTGATCTCAGTGAATTAAACAAACTCCTTGTTCACATAGAACATATATTTTAGTGAGTACTAACAGACAATGAACAAATATCATCCCCACACCCCCCCCACACACACACACAGACACCCATCAGGGAGCAGTAAGTGAAGGGGTATAGGAAGACAAGCAGGCAGGGAATACTTTGCACAGTCAGACGTAATAAACTAGGCTGGGTTCGGTGGCTCATGCCTGGAATCCCAGCAGTTTGGGAGGCTGAAGGGGAGGACTACTTGAGGCCAGGAATTTGAGACCAGCCCTGGGCAACATATCGAGACTCCATCTTTACAAAAAATAAAAAAACTAGCTGGGCATGGTGGTGCACACCTGCAGTCCCAGCTACTTGGTGGAGGCTAATGAGGGAGGGTTGTTGAGCCCAGGAAGTCTAGGCTGCAGTGAGCCATGGTGGCACCACTGCACTCCAGCCTGGGTGACAGAGTGAGACCCTGTCTCAAAAAAAAAAAAAAAAAAAGTCATAAACTAGATTTACAAACAGTATATGAATAGACTTTAAAAATATAGTCAATTGACCATTGATTAGCATTTATGATGCAAAGACAGAACAACTTTGTACAGAACTATATTCCTGGGTGGGGATTTCTGGTTGTAGCAGGATATTAAGCAAATAATAGAGAACCTTTTCACGCCACCTCTGGCTGAGCCACCCCACTCTGTTGAATGTATTAGAACTACCTTGATTTAAAAAAAAAAAATATATATATATATATATATACCCATTTCCAACTAACATACTGTTTCCTGAAAATAAAGCTCTACTCCACACACACACACACACACACACACACACACACACACACACACACACACAAAAGAAGAAGATGGCTTCTGGGAAAAGATGTTTTCTCCAGCAAGCTAAAAATTGGAATGACCAAAGAAAGCACCTTTCCAGCCTAACAGAGACCATTAGTGAGGCAGGCAAGAATCCAAAGTTGGAATCTACATCCATTGAATCTAAGGTCTCCTGTCTTTCTCAGTGTCCTTCAAATGACTTTCAAAATAAAGTCTTATTTTGGCAAAGGCAAAAAAAATACATAGTCAATTGAAAGAAGGGCATAGAATAAAATTAATGGCATCATATTACTTATGAAACTTAAAAACACGTATGCAAAATGCTGCTATACATAGTTCAGGTAAACACATGTCTAAGGACATGTATATCAACAAGTTAGCATGTAAACCTAACGGAAGTGAGAATGGAAGTTCGAAAGGGGAACGGGGAAAAAATAATGAATAAAACAAAAGAGGAGCTTTGTCTGCATGGATGATAGGGGGCCAGGAATTGAAGTGTAGGATTATTTAAGTGAAAGTAAAAAGAAAGATCCAAGAAACAATGGGGAAGGAAGGAGATTTTGCTGCCAAGAATGAGGAAATGAATCTACTTTTCCTTCCTCCCTGCATTTGGGACTAGGTCTGCCAGTGAGCCTCCAAGCTTCTCCCTCTGCCCCATGAGGCTGTCTCAGGGCAGCACAGCCTGCAAATCTGCCACTGCCAGGGGGCAGCAGGGGCAAGCATGGTGGCAAGAGGCAGTGGGCAGGCGTGAGGCAGCCTCTACCAGCCTGTGGCCACCTTCACTGGATCACACAGCTCTGGTTCCCAGTTCAGCTCCATTATCTACTGTATATGTGACCTTTGGGCAAGTTGCTTTATTCTCTGAAGCTGTTTCCCCATCTGTGAAATGCGACTAATAATATCATAACAGTAAGCCCTTCGCAGAGTGGTTGTAAGGATTCTGTGGGCCAGCGCATGTAAAGCCTCCATTGCAAGGCTGGAACTAGAGCCCATTCTTGGAAATTCTTAGTTATTAACATTCTTCTCTTTTTTGCTTTCCTGAAATGACTGCCAAACTCAACTTAGTCCCAGCACATCATTCTGCATGTTCAGAACATGCCTAAGCAAACTACAGGCAGGCTACTGGCAACCTCTGCCAAAGGATACCTGTGGCTTTCACTTTTTTTTTTTTTCTTTTTTCGAGATGGAGTCTGGCTCTGTCACCCAGGCTGGAATGCAGTGGTGCGATCTCACCTCACTGCAAACTCCGTCTCCCAAGTTCAAGCGATTCTCCTCCCTCAGCTCCCCAAGTAGCTGGTATTACAGGCCCCCACCATCACACTGGCTAATTTTTGAATTTTTAGTAGAGATGGGGTTTCACCATGTTGACCAGGCTGGTCTCGAACTCCTGACCTCAAGTGAGCCGCCCGCCTTGGCCTCCCAAAGTGCTGGGATTACAGGCATGAGCCACCGCACCTGGCCGGCTTTCACTTTTTAAACACACCACACCTGACTCTTCCTGATCAGCCCCCAGGATCAGGGGTTACAGAATGCTCTAGTACAAACCTCACCTGATCATGTTTCCATGCAAGAACAAGAGGAAACCCAACGCTATTCTGTGGATCTCTTCTCTGCAAAGCTATTGAAATGCTGGCGTTTATTTTTCAATGTGCTGTGCTCAGGACAGCTTCTTTTTTCTACACATTTGACATAGAATCACATAAGGAACGGAGTCAAAACCCCAGGGAGAAAGGGTGTGTGCTCACTCGTGTGTGTGTGATTGTGTGTACATGTGTGTGTTGCAGGTGATCTTATTCTAGGTGGTTGCTGAGTTTCCATCTCCAGATTTTCATGGCACCTTTAGCTCAACTCAGCCCAGGCCGAGTAGGTTTGCCAATGTCTGTGCCTGATGTTGGCAGGATGGCTTTGGCAGGAATTGTGAGCACAGTTTTGAAACCTGTACTTATCAGATGGCACCGGATTGCAGTGTGGCAATAATTACAGGACAATTCAGAGTTTTGCCGGGACAAAGGGTGGAGCAACTCTTTGCGGTTGAGATTGCAGAGCAGCCAAAACTGCCCCACCTGCGGTGTGGTGGGGAATGAGGGAAGGACGGGCCCCCAGGAAGAGCAGGGCGCACAGCTGCAAGTGTCTACACTTGAATGCCTACCTCAAAAGCACAAGCAAACAAGGGTAACCCCTGGGGCTGTCCCCACGGAGATCTGCATAGGATGCTAAATTGTGAACCCCTTGCAATTAGGGACCATGCCTAATTCATCTTGTTCTCCCAGAAACTGGTAGTAGGGCCTGCCCAGAGTAGCTGTTCAATAAGTATTCATAAAATAAAATAAAAGCTTTCACATCTTTTTGCAATGCAGCCAGCTAAAATGAACACCAGATCTTAAGCACTCTTAAATGCCACCTTATTGGTTTCTTGTTTTGTGTGTGTGTATGTGTGTGTGTGTGTGTGTGTGTGTTTTAGACAAGAGTCTCACTCTGCTGCCCAGGCTGGAGTGCAGTGGTGCGATCTCAGCTCACTGCAACCTCCACCTCCCGGGTTCACGCCATTCTCCTGCCTCTGCCTCCTGAGTAGCTGGGACTACAGGCACCCACCACCACGCCCGGCTAATTTTTGTATTTTTAGTAGAGACAAGGTTTCACCATGTTGGCCAGGCTGGTCTGGAACTCCTAATCTCAGGTGATCCACCAAATGCTGGGATTACAGGCATGAGCCACTGCACCAGCCCCTTATTGGCTTCTGATCTCTTTCTTTTTTTTCCTTCCCTTTAGGATTGTAAACTGCAGTTTCCTCCCAGATGCTATTTACACACACGTTTTGCCAGCTTAGTACTGTGTCCCTGTTCGCATCGGTGTAGCACTCACACACCTGCAAAGTGCCTCTAACGATTCATTCTTCATCTCAGTCTTCAAAGCAAGGTCGTTGGGGCATCTCTAGTCTCCACTGCAGGCTGCAGGTGGGAGTTAGAGAGAGTGTGAGAAAGTTCAGTTGTCCAGGGAGAAGAGCGAAGGGACCCATCTCTCTCTTGCCACCTGGGGTTCAGTCTTTCTTCACCCGCTAAGTCAAACTCCCTGAAGCTTAACAAAACAAGAGTGATTTCTTCTGCTCTCTTTCGCATCTGGTCTTCTAGATCATTTTGTTCTTCCAAGTAGCTCCTGACAAGCTGCAATTCATTTTAGGCAGATACAAGTTGCATGAGCCCGAGGTGCTGAGTCTTGCGTCCCTGGCAAACTTTTCAAACTGAGTTTGACGTTGACGCCTTTCTTTAGAATGAGCACTTGTGTTTGCCACCTGAATCAAACATTATTATGAACATGTATTTACACACAGAATATTAATCTTAAAAATTCCTCCCAATGTTTTATCCAGTTTGGAGCCAAAGAAGTTCATTCTCTGTGTGTGTTTATTTCTCTCTCTTGATAAACCGCATTTATCAGAGGAAGTTTGTCTTTTTAGTCGTTGTCGTGCAAAAAATAGTAACCGAGTGACTATTCCTCTTATAAACTAAAAAAAAAAAAAATCCAAACACCTCCCCACCCGCCCCAACAAATGACTGAACGGACTGTCCTCTTGGTCAAGGGGATCCAAGCAAACCTGAAAAACTAGCTCAGGCCATGTGGGAAGGGAGGGTTGGACGTGCCCCATTTACCCTCCTCCCTTTGGAGTTTAGGCACAGCTGACCAGCATTAACATGCCATTAACGCTCTTAAGACTGATAAAACAGACTCTTTGTAACAATAAGATACCAAATTCCAACCTGACTCTGGTATAACATCACATGACAGATAGCAGGCCTTGAAGGAAATTGGTTTACACCCCCCACAAAAAACAAAAACAAAAAAAAACAACAACAACTATATATATGTGTGTGTGTGTGTGTGTGTGTGTGTGTGTGTGTGTGTGTTCTTTTTTTAGCAACCTTGGGCAAATTACGTAGCCCATGTCGCCCTGATGACCTCTGTAGAATCGTTGCGAGGATTAAATGACTCCATTTATGTAAAGCTCACAGAATAATGCCAGGGACTATGGTAATCACTCAGAAAAAAAAAATGCAAGCTGGTGGGGCATAGTGGCTCACGCCTGTAATCCCAGCTCTTTGGGAGGCCAAGGCAGGCGGATCACGAGGTCAAGAGATCGAGACCATCCTGGCCAACATGGTGAAATCCCATCTCTAATAAAAATAAAAAAATTAGCTGGGCATGGTGGCGTGCGTGCTCCTGTAGTCCAAGCTACTCGGGAGGCTGAGACAGGAGAATGGCTTGAACCTGGGAGGTGGAGGTTGCAGTGAGCCGAGATTATGCCATTGTGCTCCAGCCTGGGTGACAGAGCAAGACTCCGTCTCAAAAAAAAAAAAAAAAAAAGCAAGCTAATATCACTTGAAAGATGGAGATGATAATGCCTACCTGATAGGAAAGTCGTGAGGAAGATTAACATTTAAACATCCAGCACATACTAGGTCTAACTCAGTAATGCTTCCATCCTTCCACTCTTGTGACTTGGATATACCTGGAACATTGACTTATCAGGAGTATCTACAGAAGTGGATAATGTGGGTGAGGGTTAGAGCAAATGAAAGGTGTTGTCACTCATAGAAGCTATGGTCCCAGGTGCTCTCAGCCCCTCATTCTCTCTGGCTTCTCCTGGCAGTTTGCCTCCTGTCCTTGCTGTTCAGTGGAGCAGGCTCGTCTGGGGTGCAGGACTATATTCTCTCTTTGATGAACCTCTCTCTGTAGGGTGGCTTTATCAAGAAGTCCTAGCCTGGACCCCGAGTCCCTAGGATAGTCCAGCTTCATCTGGAAGTACTTTCCATCCTCCAGAGCAGAGGTCAGCAAAATTCTCCTTACAGGGCCACATATTAAATATATTTGGCTTTGCAGGCCCTACGGTCTCTGCCGCTATTACTCATCTCTGGCATTCTAGCTCTAAAGCAGCTGTAGACGATCCCTAAATGAACAGGCATGGCTGTGTTCCAGCAAAAGTGTATGTAGTGGCACTGAAATTTCAATTTCATTTCAGTTTTGTGTGTCATGATATAGTATGCTTCCCTTGATTTTTTTCAAACAATTGAAAACATAAAAACCATTCTCAGCTTAAAGGCCACACTAAAACAGGTGTGGAACTAAATTTGGCCAATGGGCCACAGTTTGCTAACCCCTTCAGATCCTCTCTTTCAGTGTAGAGGATTTCTCTTAAAAATGCATTCATTGTTTATTTTTTATTCTCATTCGATGTCAAATGTAACACTAGCTGTATAGGCTAATCATGTTATATTCCCAGTGACAACTTCTCCTTGAGTAGACATGATTTTGGCTGTGACATGTGTATGTCTGTGAACTATGGTACAGACTCATGTGATAATGGACTTTAGCAACTTTGAGCTTTTTATTCTCTTTTTAAGGAATCCTTCCTAACTCATTTTATGAAGCCAATATCACCCTGATACCAAAACCAGGAAAGGACATAAGAAAAAAACAAAACTACAGACCAATATCACTGATAAATATAGATGCAAAAATCTTCAATGATATACTAGCTAACCAAATCCAACAGCACATCAAAAAAGATAATCCACCATGATCTAGTGGGTTTCATCCCATGGATGTAGGGATGGCTTAACATAGGCAAGTCAAAAAATGTGATACACCACATAAACAGAATTGAAAACAAAAACCATATGATTATCTCAATAGATGCATTTGATGAAATTAAGCATCCCTTTATGATAAAAATCCTCATCAAACTAGGCACAGAAGGGACTTACCTCAAAATAATAAAAGCCACATATGACAAACCCACAGCCAACAGCATACTGAATGGGGAAAAGTTGAAAGCATTTCCCTTGAGAACTGGAACAAGATAAGGATGCCCACTTTCACCACTTCTATTCAGCGTGGCACTGGAAGCCTTAGCCAGAGCAACCAGGCAAGAGAAGGAAATAAAGGACATCCAAATTGGAAAAGAGGAAGTCAAACTATCACTGTTCACTTATTATATGATCATATATCTAGAGAACCTTAAAGACTCCTCCAAGAGACTCCTAGATTTGATAAACCAATTCAGTAGTCTCAGGTTACAAAAATCGATGTACACAAATCAGTAGCACTGCTATACACAACAATCACCAAGCTAAGAATCAAATCAAGATCTTAATTCTGTTTGCAACAGCTGTAAAAAAGAAAAAAAAAACCCTAGGAATATACTTAATCAAGGATGTGAAAGATCTCTACAAGGAGAACTACACAACACTGCTGAAAGAAATCATAGATGACATGAACAAATGGAAACACATCCCATGCTCATGGATCAGAAGATTCAATGTCATAACAATGACCATATTGCCCAAAGCAATCTATAGATTCGGTGTAATTCCTATCAAAATGCCAACATTATTTCTCATAGAATTAGAAAAAACAATCCTAAAATTTATATGGAACCAAAAAAGAGCCTGAATACCCAAAGCAACCCTAAGCAAAAAGAACAAATCTGGAGACATAAGATTACTGGACTTTAAATTACACTACAAGGCCATAGTTACAAAAACAGCATAGTACTGGTATAAAAGTCAACACACAGACCATAGAGAACCCAGAAATAAAGCCAAATACTTACAGCCAACTGATCTTTGACAAAGCAAACAACACAAATTGGGGAAAGGACATCCTATTTAATAAATGGTGCTGGGAAAACTGGATAGCCATCTATAGAAGAATGAAACTGGATTCCTCTCACCTTATATAAAAATCAACTCAAGATGGATCAAAGACTTAATTCTAAGACCTGAAACCATAAAAATTCTAGAAGATAACCTAGGAAAAATTCTTCTGAGAATTGACTTAGGCAAATAATTTATGACCAAGACTCCAAAAGCAAATGCAACAAAAACAAAAATAAATAAATGGCACCTAATTAAACTAAAAAGCTTCTGTACAGCAAAATAAATAATCATCAGAGTAAACAGACAGCCCACAGAACGGAAGAAAATATTTGCAAACTATGCATCCAACAAAAAACTAATATCCAGAATCTACAAGGAACTCAAGCAAATCAGCAAGAAAAAAACAAATAATCCCATCAAAAAGTGGGCAAATTATATGAATAGACATTTCTCAAAAGAATATATGCAAATGTACAACAAATATATGAAAAAATACTCTGCTAATCATCAGGGAAATGCAAATTAAAACCGCAATGACATACCACCTTACTCCTGCAAGAATGGCTATTATTAAAAAGTCAAAAAACAATAGATGTTGGCATGGATGTGGTGAAAAGGGAACGCTTATACACTGCGGGTGGGAATGTAAATTAGTATTACCTATATGGAAAGCAGTATGGAGATTTCTTTTTTTTTCTTCCTTTTTTCTTTTTCTTTTTTTTTTTTCTTTTTTTTTTTTTTTTTTGAGACAGAGTTTCACTCTTGTTGCCCGGGCTGGAGTGCAATGGCACGATCTTGGCTCACAACAACCTCCACCTCCCGGGCTCAAGCGATTCTCCCACCTCAGCCTCCTGAGTAGCTGGGATTACAGGCGCCCACCACTACACTCAGCTAATTTTGTATTTTTAGTAGACACGGGGTTTCTCCATGTTGGTCAGGCTGGTCTCGAACTCCCAACCTGAGGTGATCCTCCCACCTTGGCCTCCCAAAGTGCTGGGATTAAAGGCATGAGCCACCACGCCCAGCCTGAGATTTCTTAAAGAACTAAAAGTAGATCTACCATTCTATCCAGCAATCCCACTACTGGGTATGTACCTAAAGGAAGATAAGTCATTATATGAAAAAGACACCTGCACACATATGGTTATTGTAGCACAATTCACAATTGCAAATATATGGAACCAACCTAAGTGCCCATCGACCAATGTGTGGATAAAGAAAATATGGTATATATACATCATGGAATACTACTCAGCCATAAAAAGTAATAAAATAATGTCTTTTTCAAGAACTTGGATGTAACTGGAGGCCATTATTCTAAGTGAAGTAACTCAGGAATAGAAAACCAAACACCATATGTTCTCACTTATATATGAGAGCTAAGCTATGGGTATGCAAAGGCAGACAGAGCGGTATAATGGACTTTGGAGACTCAGAAAGGGGAGGATGGGAGGGAAATGCAAGATTAAAAACTGCATATTGGGTACAATGCACACTACTCGGGAGACAGGTGTACTAAGATCTCAGATTTCACCACTATACAATTCAGCCAGGTAATCCAAAACCACTTGTACCCCAAAACTATTGAAATAAAAATATTTTTTAAAAATAAAATATTAAATGTCCTGAAATATTACTAATGCTGCATCTATAAAAATCATTAACATTTCAATATATAAAATAACCATTTGCTTAATACAAAGCAAGAACCTGACAAAGCCCTTTCACACTCTACGGTTGTTTGTCTCTTGTCTCAATATCTGATTTATCTAACCTGGGCACTGTCAGACAGACTCATGCAGAAAACAGACTTTTTTTTTTTTGGAGACAAGATCTCACTCTGTCGCCCTGGCTGGAGTACAGTGGCATGATCTCGGCTCACTGCAGCTTCTGCCTCCCGGGTTCAAGTGGTTCTTGTGCCTCAGCCTCTCGAGTAGCTGGGATTACAGGCGTGCGCCACCAGGACCGGCTAATTTTTTGTGTGTTTTTAGTAGAGACAGGGTTTCGCCATGTTGGCCAGGCTGGTCTCAAACTCTTGACCTCAGGTGATCCGCCCACCTCAACCTCCCAAAGTGCTGCTGGGATTACAGGCATGAGCTACCTCGCCCAGCCCAGAAAACTTTAAAGACACCCTGATCCTTACTTTGAAGTCAAAATCCCACTAGATTGTGTATAAAATTGTGGGTTGTAGCTCCGTCAATGCAGGGCTTCAAGACGGCTTGATGGAAAAACCTCCTTTTAGGTGAGTTTTCACCAATGGAGGCTTTCAACTACCAATGTAAAGTCGTCAGGGAGGTGCTAGAAGGTCACACTCTTAGCGTGTTTGATTGGTGGTCTTCCACCTAGCGTCCCAACCCCTCTCCCTGTGTGAATGAGGGAGAAATATGCTTTATGCATTTGGTGACTTGGCAAATCTGGGGGAGAGGAGTGAGCTGATTTAGGTGACTTAGACCCTTGGTCATGGGGCAGACACGTGGGGATCAATTTCCTCATTTAAGTTATATTCTTCTCAGAAATCATTGCAGCATGTCTTTAATACAATACATTTCTCCAAAACAAATATTTACTGACTGAAGTTGTCTTCATAGCCATGGCAACTCTCGCTAGTGTTTTATACACATACATATATGTGTATATATGTACATATTGATACACACATACAGAGGCATACACATTTATGTGTGTGTGTGTATATATATGTATATATGTATATATATGTATATATATATGTGTGTGTATATATATATATATATATATATATATATATATATATATATGCAGGTAGCTGAAAGACTGATGTATGACCTCTAAGCTATACCTGTGGGCTGCTAACCTCAACATTTTGGATCGTCTTTTTTTATCTCTCCAGAAAGAAAAGGGATAGCAAATTGTTTGTTTAGATTCTTGAGTGTAATTGAATAATGTATCTCCCCCCCGATCTGTTCCCAGGCAGAAGTGTTGCAATATCAAAGCCTGAATCCAATTCCCGGGTTGTCACTCTTCATGTTTTCACCTGTCCACATTGTTGTATGTCACAGAAGGGAAATAGACCCTTCCAGAAAGACAAGTGGCCTGTGAGCTTTGGTGCCAAGAATGTGTTGGAAACCTTAGAAAAGTAATGAGTGCGGTGAGCCATACTCCTGTTCCCCACCTGCCCTGGACCGTTTGTGCCATTTGTTGCTACTGTACTTGCTGTCCTGTTTAAACTGCAGCAGAACGATAGTCTTTGACTAGGGCTGGCTGCAGAATTTGATGCGGGGGTCCAGGGTGGTCTCTGCAATTGGGTTGTTAGACATGAGCCTGGAGGGTCCTTTGCTCTGTCTTTTCGGTCGGTTTGGTCTGGACCATGTGATGCCATCTACAAAATCCCAGGGTGTTTTTAGCTGGTAAAATGAAAGAATTTTAGCACTGGACTGGCCGTAATGGGCATTCCCGGGGCTGTTTTACCCAGTGGCCAGCAGCTTCTGCTTCAATACATACAGCAGGAGCTCACTGCCTTTCTTCCCCACTGGCCAGCGCACAGGGCTGGCCTCCTGGTCAAGCGACCTGTACAGGTGCACAGGACTTGCACCCAGAAGGCTCCCACACTTGGTTTAATGGTCCGCTGTTGCTGTCTTGAAATTCTTAATAATTCTTGAGCAAGGAGGCCCTGCATTTTCATTTTGCACTGCGCCCCATAAATTATGTAGCTTGTGCTGCCAGCACATTTAAAGCTACCTTCACCCATCAACCACACACAGGATGTTTGTACAAACATTCAGTCATTACCTGCCTCCAGACCCCACCCTGCCCTCGCTTCCTGCTCTGCTCCAGGTGCTGACTTCCAACCCTGGGCTTTTCCACCTGCTTCCAGCCTCATTTGACTTAACCTGCCTTGACCCTTGAGATTTGAAGTCTGAACCTGGCTTCTCTAATTTGACCCTTAAACGTCAAACGCCTCAGTGGTTGCAGGCTCTAGTCTTGGTTTTTCCCACTTGTCACCACTTAGAATGAATTCAAAGCCCAACTCAGCTCTGATCTCCAGACGCTTAACAGAGACGGGCCTCAGCCCCAGGAGATTAGTCAGCTGATTCTATATACAGAGAGTTATTTTGGGCTTTTGTTAAAAGTACACTGAGCCAAACATCTGCTTCCCTATAGTTCCTACACATTACCTGGTAAATGTGGTAGAGTGCTAGTTACTGAGTCAGCAAGTAAACAGATGCGAAAAATAAACATACTGAAATTAAGCATGTTTGTTATAGATATTAAACCACCTCCCTCTCCAGTTAAAATATCCAAATGATTCTTCCAGTCATCCTTCACACATCTCTACACAACTAGCTCAGCCTCACACTCCCAGATCAACTACCTCCATCAGATATCCCAACACCCAGGCGCCCTGTTCACGCATTCTCAGTCCACCCCTGACTTCCATTCAGACAGGTCTGCTCATGGCTCTTCATCCCATCCTCTTCTCTGTCCCCATGACCCCTCCCAGATAGCCACCAGGCCTGCCATGTCATTTCATGGTGACAAGTCTTCCTAAGCATCTTCTGTTGCGGGGTTCTGCTTTCGTGCCTCTCCCGCCGTCAGCATCCCCTGTGCCCCATGCTCTGAATTTTTCTGGGCTCTTGCACAGTGATGTTTATTCTGACTATTGCTGTGCCTGGGCCACCTCAGTTACAGTCCCCCCGAGACAGAACTGCAGCCACCTCCAGCACCGCCCTTGTCTCCTGGGTTATCTCTTTT
This sequence comes from Homo sapiens, assembly GCF_000001405.40. Lineage (NCBI taxonomy): Eukaryota > Metazoa > Chordata > Mammalia > Primates > Hominidae > Homo > Homo sapiens. Next base: position 235,922,964 of record NC_000001.11, on the reverse strand, counting down.
GATCTTCCTAGACCTGCTCATACCAATTCTTAGACTCATTGGTAGCACAACCCTTCAAAGGGACACCTTTGAGTGTGTGTGTGTGTGTGCGCGCGCTTGCGCATGTATATGTGTGTTCATGTATGTGTGTTTATGTGCATGGGTGAATGTGTGTATGTGAGTTTGTGTGTGTGCGCAGATACATGCATGTGTGTGAACAAGGATCATTTCACTCTTACTGAGAGTGTTAATTTCATTATAGGAACTAGCCTTGTACATCAACACATACCTGACATCTGTGCTCTGATGTCACTTTCAGCCCAGTACTATATGAGTTCAATGACAGCATCTCCAAACTGCCTTGTCTCATATTTGAACCCAAGCCCTTGGCCATTCTTGTTTTCCACAGCAGTGTGCATTAACCTAGTGGTTGCCAAACCCAGCAGCCCAGTAGACTCAGGTGGGGAGTGTTTTTCAATGTATTTCCTATGGTAGCAACTCAGAGCTGCGGAATCTGAGTCTCTGCGAGACGGGCCCTGAAATCCTCATATTTCCAAAGCTCTGCAGACTGAACCTAATTTGGAAAGTCTAAGAGCAAACCACCTCCACCCAGACATAAAGCTAATAAATGCACCTTACATGGGCATCGGGTGCATAACCCTGCATTAGGTAGGTAAGTATTATTATCTCAATTTCATAGTTGAAATAACCGAGGCCCCGGGAGACCATGCGACCTGTCTGAGAGAGAACGCAGCCAGGACTCTGCAAGTTTGCCTCCCTGAGGCCACTCTCCCCACCGTCCATGGGACTGCTCCTGCAGTGTGTGAAGTCAGATCTAGGGTCCTCCTTGTGTGCCACATCCTAAACCATAACCCTGGAAGCGGCTTGGGCACAAGGGCACATCCAGACAGCATCTGCTGGGACCTGCCTCTAAAATCCCCCAGCTCCCTTACCCTGTCTACTCTGTTTATTCTGCACAGACCCGTCATGGAACTACTGGGTGGGCATTTGTTCACGTGTCCATCACCTGCTACGCTTGGGGCTCCCTGAGATGGTTGGGGTGCTGTGGAATGTGTACTGGTCTCCGATGGATGTGGAAGAGATCTGGGTGTGACTCTTAGTTTGGCCAGTCTATGAGTTTGCTAGAGCTGCCTTAACAGAGAACCACCAACTGGGTGGCTTCAATTACAGAACGTATGTCTCACAGTTCTGGAGGCCAGAAGTACGAGATCAAGATGTGGGCAGGGTGGGCTCCTTCTGAGGGAGTGAGGGATTTGTTCTACACCCCTCTCCTGGCCTCTGGTGTTTCGCTGGTCATCCTTGGCATTCCTTGATGGCCTGGAGAGCATCACTCTGATTTCTGCCTTCATCTTCACGTGGAATTCTCCCTGTGTACGTGTCTGTATCCAAATTTCCTCTTTTTATAAGGACACCAAACATATTGGAGAGGGGCCACCCTAATGACCACGTTTTAACTTGATTACCTCTGTAAAGACCCTGTCTTTCAATAAGGACACTTTCTGAGGTACTGGGGGACCTCAATATATCTTTTGGGGGACACAAACTCATAAGAGCAAGCATCTTGTTTTATGAATTGGAGCAAGTCACTGAACCTCATAGAATCAGTTTATTCATCCGTGAAACAGGGATTTAAAAATACCCACTGTGCAGGCTTCTTTCTTAATAACTGTTAGAAGATTAGATAAGGCACAAAAATGTTTTTTCAAAGCAAGGTAGAGAACAGTGAGGTTAGTTACTACAATCGAGGTTAAAAGAGGTGGGGCAACTCTCCATCCACTAACACCCACTCCCGCCCTGTGAGTGCGTGTGTGTGTGTGTGTGCGTGTGTGTGTGTGTGTACCATACACTGTGATTGTCCGGATCATCAGAGCCTCAGGCAGATTCTAACAGAAACCACATACCAAACAGACATGATTATTCCCAAATGCTGACTTCAAATTTTCACTCACATGAAGGGTATATCATCACTCAAATCAAGAATTAGGCACCGTTGTTGCTGTTAAATAGGCCTTATCTTTAGTTCAGCATGTTTCCTAAACTTATCACAGACACATTAAAAGCACAGATCCCCCTCCCCAGGGATTCAGGCTCCTTTGGTCTGGGTAGGGCCCGAGGGATCTGCATTTGAGCAAGCTCCTGGCGTGAGTCTTATTGGACAAGCCTGGAACAGGGCTGCCCTGATCACAGTAGGACCGGATTTCTCACCCTGCCTCCTCTGCGGCTCATCAGCCAGTTCCAGTCACTGGACCTGGGAGGGGCCTCCATTTCCTCACCTTTAACCCTGTGCCTGATTTTGAGTCTTGAGCTTTCCAGGTCCTTTCGAGCCATAAAATGCCACCTCTTTGCTTGTGGATTTGGAATTCTCTGCATTATAATAAGCTCCTTGAACTACCTCTGACATCTTTTGCCATATATTTTCCCATCGTCTGGAGGGTTGGGGGCCTCTTTACTCAGTGGGTTTCCAGCCAAGCTGACCTGCCCACTGCGGTTGACAGCATGTGTGGAGAAGAGCAGCAGACCAGGGGAACCAGCTCAGAGCAGAACACCCTCAGTGCAGTCTTTTCTGTCTACAGCAGGGAGGGACGGTCTTGTTCCTGGCCTCCAGGGTAAGTCTGCAGACCAGCTGGGGGCCTGTTTGGCTTAGGCTTACCTTTTAACATGGCCACGCTGTGAATCACTGCTGTGAAACAATGACTGGTCATTTAAATGCCCTTGGCACACTCAGCAGTCTAGGATGAACAAATTGTTTTGTTGATTTAGTTTTGTTAGAGAAAGGAGAGAGAGAAATAAAGAGAGAGAGAGAGACCCTAATACATTGCTGGTGGAAATGTAAAGTGGTGCAGCTAGTAGGGAAAACGGTCTGGCAATTCCTCAAAATGTTAAACATACAGAGGTGTGGCCCAGCATTTCCACTCCTAGTTCTATTACTCAAGAGAAATGAAAGCGCATATCTACACAGAAACTTGTACACTCATGTTTATAGCAGCATTATTCACAATGGCCAAAAGGAAGAAGCAACCATTGACAGAGGAATGGATAAGCAAGTTGTGGTTTACGCACACCATGGAATATCATGTAGCCACAAAAAAGGGATGAAGTATTATACATGCTATGACTTGGATGCACCTGGAAAATGTGCTAGGTGAAAGAAGCCCGACACAAAAAGAACACATGTTCCGTGATTCCTTTTATATGAAATATCCAGAACAGGCAAATCTACAGAGGTAGAAAGCAGATTTGTGATTGTCAGGGACGGGGGGAGGGGGAAATGGGAGTGACTGCTTAATGGGTACCAGATGTTATTCTGGGAGATGAAAAGGTTTTGAAACTAGAGAGGTGGTGATTGCACGACATTGCGAGTGCACTAAATACCACTGAATTGTGCACTTTATAATAGTTCATGGTATGTTATGTCAATTGCGCATCAATAAAAAGAGAGAGAGAAAAGGGTAAGGGAGAGTCTGGTAGAGGGAAGAGAGGAAAAATGAGAAAGAGAAGAGAAGCAATATTATTAGGCCTGGCATGTGAATTTTTTTATTTTTAAAGGATAATGTGACCATTGAGTCACTGAAATGGAACAGAGCACTCCTCTGATTACAGTGACCACTGACCTCCTATGAGGGGTGGAAGCTCTGTGGCTTCCTTTTCGCCAGCAGCAGTCTTCGATACCGCAAGTCACAAGATGTGGCACCAGCATTATATCTTTGGGTCGACTGGGGGAGGCCCCTCCGGCAGTCTCTCAATCAAACATCTCCAGCTCAGAGGACTCTGCTCTGAGATTAAACCACACAAGGTTCTTTCAGCCCGGGGTCTGGGTAAGGGGTCTGGGCAACCACTTCGGGGCTCAGTGGGCATGTGGGGTACACAGGGAAACGTGAGCCCATCTGGGCTGCAGATTCACTAGGACACTCGGATGGACTGTTTTCGTTAGCTCTCAAATGTGCAAATCATGCTTTTCCTGGTGCTTGGCAGGGCAAAGGCTTGGATTTTTTTTTAAAAAGACAACCTGATGGAGATTGGAGCTGGACAGCAAAGAAGACACATTAGTTGGCCAGTCTAGAGAATGCATTCGGAAGGGTTTCAGCACAAGTCCTCTGCTGTTGAGGTTTGCAGCCCTTGCATTGGGTGCCTTTCAGATAGTCTGGACAAAGGCCTCTGGTAGAGCTGACTGCCTATAACAAAATCACTTCAGAATGAGTATGGAGTTCTACAAAATTCACTGTCTCAAGTCAGACCTGCATGGACTCTAAATGACTGATCTTGGCTGCTTGCCTAGACATCTACCTCCAGGACCACCCTGTTAGCAGTTTGGTGTCTACTTGTGGGTTCCAGCCACCAATCACAGCATCGTCCTTCACTGATGGCTGCTTCCCACATCTCTGCCTAAATCTATGTCCCACTCCGAGGCACTCAGCACTGATGCTGATCATTCCTAAATGCAGATTCTAGAGCGACAGTCGCGCAGAATCTCAGATAAGTTATTATTAATAGAAAAGAATTCAATGTGACACCTAGCATACATAGGCTTTGCCACAGTCAGAACAAAGGTCTTGCAGCACATCCGAGGCTTCCCAACACGCAGATGCTCTCTTGGAGCCCTGAGGAAGCTTCCAGAGCTGTGCCGTTTGCTTGCACCCGGGCAGATCCAGATGGCAGCTGATCACTGCAGGGCTCTGTGATCTGTGCGCCAGCTGGTCCGCTCGCTCGGGCAGTTCAAACGGTGCTCTGTGTTTCAGGAGGGACACCCAGGAGGTCACCTTCTTAGCTTTACAGCCACCTGGTGGATCCCTGCTGGAGTGTCCTCCTCAGCGTTGGGCATGGGGGCGGGTGGTGGTCCCTGAAGGACTCTATCCATAGAGCCCTCTTTAGAAGTCTCCACCGCGCTGAGATGTGCCAATGCAAGACTCACAGTCCCCTTAGATTCCTGTTATGATTGCTGTTCTCTTCTTATTTAAATATTTTCACAAACGACTTTGTTGTTTTCCAGCCTAAGACTTTCAGTAAAGCAGACTATCTTTTAATCTAATAACTCAAATTAAGTGAACATTTTAATTTTCATTTAAAAATTTAAATTTTGTTTAAAATTAAATGAAAACCAAATAATATTTACTTTTAAACAAATCAGTGCAGCATGGTTATGAGCCTCAAGTCCTGACCTGCTTCCCCCGGTCTCCCCCTCCCGGAAATGGTAGTCCTGCCTGAATACCGTTTGCCCATCCAAGGGAATCTGTGCCAGATTATGTCTCCAGGGCTGGAGTTTATAGCTCTCCATCACATGGTGTGGCAACTCATGCTTCTTAATCAGAGCATCAAATGAATGAGTCAATGTGGGCTTGCTTTTATTTTCACAAACTGTCTCCCGAGTCAGGCCTGCTCTGAGCTTCGGGGCCTTTCCCTGGCTCCACTCCAATAACTTGAGTAATTTCCTGTGCTGAGGGCCCTTGTGTGCTGAGACTTCTTCTCACATGAGCCACTAGCTTAGATCCTGAACCTATTTCCAGAGTGCTCATTACAGGCGCTTTGGAAGGAGGTCCGAGCTTTGGAATAGGAGACTGAAGTTCTGGCTTGAATTTTGGCTTTGCCCCGAGTAGCTGTGTGACACTGCACAGGTTAATTAACTTCTCTGAGTTTCCATTCCTGCATCTGTAAAACAGGAATCACAAACAGGATGCCAACAGAGGGATGAGCTCAGGCCTCAGAGTCGGACAAAGCTGCATTCAGATGCCAGCTCTGCAGATTGCTAGCTTCGGAATCCCACCAGAGCCTCCGTGGATGGGAGAGCCGATATCTGCCTTCTGGAGTTCTTGTAGAAAGTAAAAGAGATGATGTATGTACCATGCCTGGCACATGGTTAGGCACTGAGGAAATGTTTTTGAAGACTACAAAATAAGGATAAAACACACGATATGTCTACCTCCGTGGATATTTGAAAGGATCACATTAATATACGTGAAAATACACTGTAAACTATAAAATAGTATAAATGTTATTATTTGGATTCTTTTTCTCTCAGATCATTTTACTCTATTTACTCTTTCCAACTTCTTATTTAGAAAATTTTGGCCAGGCGCGGTGGCTCATGCCTGTAATCCCAGCACTTTGGGAGGCCGAGGCAGGCAGATCACGAGGTCAAGAGATCGAGACCTTCCTGGCCAACATGGTGAAACCCCGTCTCTACTAAAAATACAAAAATTAGCTGGGCGTGGTGGTGTGTGCCTGTAGTCCCAGCTACTCGGGAGGCTGAGGCAGGAGAATCGCCTGAACCCAGGAGGCGGAGGTTGCAGTGAGCCGAGATCATGCACTCCAGCCTGGGCAACAGAGTGAGACTCTGTCTCAAAAAATAAATAAATAAATAAAACATAAAATAAAAATTTCATAGCTGAAAAAAGTTGGACTAGTAAACACCCGAATATCCTTTTCCTAGATTCACCAATTATTAATAGTTGCTTCTTTGCTTGCTGTATCTCTATCTCTATTTAGGTACCTATCATCTATGTATAATTTGTTTAAGCATTTGAAAGTAAGTTGCAGATATCATGAGTCGACCCTAAGTACTTCAGCATGTGTCTCTTGAGAATAACAGCATTCTCCTATAGAACAAAGTACTATTATTACCATATTAGTAGGCTTGGGCTGCTATACCAAAATGCCATAGACTGGGTGACCTCAACAGCACACACTTATTTCTCAAAATTCCAGAGGTTGAAGGTGTAATAAGATCAAGGTGTCAGCTGATTCAGTTCCTGGTGAGGGCCCCCTTCCTGGCTTACAGATTGCAAATGGCTGTTGTTGTCGTCGTCGTCGTCTTCGTCGTCGTCGTCGTCGTCGTCGTCGTCGTCGTCGTCGTCGTCTTCTTCTTCTTCTTCTTCTTCTTCTTCTTCTTCTTCTTCTTCTTCTTCTTCTTCTTCTCTCTTCTTCTTCTTCTTCTCTCTTCTTCTTCCTCTTCTTCTTCCTCTTCTTCTTCTATTATTATACTTTAAGTTCTGGAGTACATGTGCAGAATGTGCGGGTTTGTTACATAGGTATACACATGCCATGGTGGTTTGCTGCACCCATCAACCTGTCATCTACATTAGGTATTTCTCCTGATGCTATCCCTCCACTAGCACCCCCGACAGGCCCCGGTGTGTGATGTTCCCCTCCCTATGTCCATGTGTTCTCATTGTTCAGCTCTCACTTATGAGTGAGAACATGTGGTGTTTGGTTTTCTGTTCTTATGTTAGTTTGCTGAGAATGGATGGTTTCCAGCTTCATCCATGTCCCTGCAAAGGCCATGAACTCATTCTTTTTTATGGCTGCATAGTATTCAATGGTGTATATGTGTCACATTGTCTTTATTTAGTCTATCATTGATGGGCATTTGGGTTGGTTTCAAGTCTTTGCTATTGTGAACAGTGCTGCAATAAACATATGTGTGCATGTGTCTTTATAGTAGAACAATTTAAAAATATGGAACGCTTCAGGAATTTGCGTGTCATCCTTGCACAAGGACCGTGCTAATCTTCTCTGTATCCTTCCAATTTTAGTATATGTGCTGCCAAAGCAAGCACATTTTTTGTTTGTTTGTTTGTTTGTTTGTTTGTTTGTTTTTGAGATGGAGTCTTGCTCCGTAACCCAGGCTCAAGTGCCGTGGCGCAATTTTGGCTCACTGCAGCTTCCACCTCCTGGGTTCAAGCGATCCTCCTGCCTCAGCCTCCTGAGTAGCTGGGATTACAGATGTGCGCCACCACACCCGGCTAATTTTTGTGTATTTAGTACAGATGGGGTTTCAGCATGTTAGCTAGGCTGGTCTCAAACTCATGACCTCAAGTGATCCACCTGCCTCAGCCTCCCAAAGTGCTGGGATTACAGGCAAGAGCCACCGCACCCAGTCAGCTGTCTTCTCACTATGTCTTCACGTGGTGGAGACAGAGAGAAAGCTCTGACATCTCTTCCTCTGTTTATGGGGACACTAATCCCATCACAAGAGTCCTGCCCCTTATGACCTCATCTAAATATATTTCCCTCCCAAAGGTCTCATCTCCAAATACCAATACACTACACTACACTCCCACAACATATGCATTGTGAGAGAACGCAAACGTTCAGTTCATAATAATTACCAACAACTTTAACATCAATACAGTAATATTATCTAATACACAGATATTCAAATTTTATACTCAGTATTCAAATTTTAAATATTCAAATTTTAAATTCAATATTCAATTTCATATATTCTATACTCAAATTTTATTTTGATTGCATGTTGAAATGAGAATACATTGATTACGTTGGGTCAAAATACATTATTAAAAATTAGTTTCACCTGTCTTGTCACTTTTTCATGTGGCTTTAAAAATATTAAAATTCCACTTTTGCCTGCATTACATTTCTATTGTTCATCACTGCTCAGAATATTCCCTGTCACATTTTGTTGTTGTTTGTGACATGGACATTTTTTAGTCCAAGCCAATTATCTTGTGGAAGGCTCTACAATATGGCTTTGTCTGTTTCCTTTTGACTAGATTCTGGTTAAATCTTTCTGACAAGGATATAATCAAAGTGATGTTGAGACTTGGCATCAGAGGCTCACTGTGTGAGTTTGCCCCATTGTTGGGAATGCAAAGTTTTACTACTTGGTTAAAGTGGCCTCTGCCACATGTAAAGATTCTTTTTTCCCTCTATCGGGGTGGTCTTTTGAAACCGTATGAGCATCCTGCTCCTACTTACTCAGTGGTTTTAGCATCTGCATCTAATGATGCTTGTTGCCTGTATCAATCATACATTAGTGATTGCAAAAATCACAGGTGTCTTAACTTTTCATTTTAACTCATTGGCTTGACTGTTTTCTAGTTTTTCATGCTAATACATGATATGAGCAATTTGCTGCTTTTTTGTTTTTTGGAGACAGTTTCCCTCTGTCATCCAGCCTGGAGTGTAGCAGCACCACCTCTGCTTCTCGCCTCCTGGGTTCAAGCAATTCTCATGCCTCAGCCTCCCGAATAGCTGGGATTACAGGCACGTGCCATCACGCCTGGCTAATTTTTTATTTTTAGTGGAAACGGGGTTTCAACATGTTGGCCAGGCTGTTCTCGAACTCCTGACCTCAAGTGATCTGCCTCCCTCAGCCTCCCAAAGTGTTGGGATTACAGGCGTGAGCCACCACACCTGGCCCAATTTGCTACTTTCTAAGTCTTATCAATTTATTTTACGGGCTGCATAGCATTCTGTTGTATAAAATGTAGAATACGATATAGTTGAATCTCTGTTGATGATTATTTACATGTTTTCTAATTTTTTGCCATTAAAAATATTGATTCTATGAACATCCTTGTACACTGTCCACCCAGTCATTTCCTGCCTTGAAATATATCCCTAAAAATGGTATTATTGAGTATGCTCAGTTAAATTTTTGACACATATAGTCAGATTGCCCTCCAGAAATATATCACACAGTTCACACTGCCAGTGAATCAGCCAGGATGCTTTCAGCTGCAAAGGAACAACAATCTCAACACAGATTGGCTTCCGTAATAAAGACATTTGTTTTCTCATAGAAGCCAGAACTCCAAATGAAAGGTGCTACCATAAACTCCATTTTCTCCTCAATTTCATTTTTTAAGAAAAACACTAGCTGTACTGTAACCCATTAAACAGACTTCATGATTCACCAGGGGATCATGACCTACAATTTGAAAAACACTGCTTTGAAATACTCAAGTTGCTCTCTGGAACTGGAGATAGGTGGCTACCCGAACAAATTCTGACTTTTGTTAGGAGTGGAGGAATGGATGTTCATCACCTTATCTATTTATCTACACGGATGGCAGAGAAAACCGTTCCCCAGGCCCTTCTCACCCTGCGCATAATTTGGCTCCCCAATCTTTGCCAGTCTAATAAGTGAATTCACCATCTCTGTTTTTAAAATTTCATCTATATAACAGTGAGATTTCATGGATAAACAATATTGTATATTGCCAGGCTCTGGTAAGAGGCCTGCCTGGATTCATAATCTGGAAACTTCACTTATCACCTGTGTGACTTAGAGCAAGTTACTTAGCCTCTCTGTGCCTCTGTTTTTCATCTCTAGAAGAAGGATAATAATATCTACCTCAGAGATTTGTTATGATCATTAAAAGAGATAACTTGGGCTGGGGTGCAGTGGCTCATGCCTGTAATCCCAGCACTTTGGGAGGCCAAGGTGGGTGGATCACCTGAGTTCAGGAGTTTGAGACTAGCCTGGCCAACATGGTGAAACCCCGTCTCTACTAAAAATACAAAAAATTAGCCGGGCATGGCGGCACACACCTGTAATCTCAGCTACTCGGGAGGCTGAGACAGGAGAATCGCTTGAACCCAGGAGGCGGAGGTTGCAGTGAGCGGAGATCACACCGTTGCACTCCAGGCTGGGTGTCTTGAAAAAAAAAAAAAAGGTGGGGAGGGGATAGTTTTTATAACGTGCTTAGCACCCTTTCTGAAAATGTGTTTTGGAAAAACTTTTTTTTCATTTATAGGTTTCTGTTGCTCTATTAGGATGATGTCTGAATTTGAACCCACCACACGAGGGAAAAGAAGTCGACAGAGACTTGAGCTGTGCCGAAACAACTGTGTCCTGATTTCCCCAGGCCCTACACAGCTCATGGTATACGGAATGCAAGGGAAGAACTGCTTGCAGGCCACAGGGTGGACAAGGCCCTGGAGCTCTGCGAAACCAGGAAGGCACCATGGATGGCTCTGGCTTCCAGAAGTTTAATAGGAAAAAAAAGGCAAACAAACATTAAGACAGAAAATGCATGCAGCATATAGCGCCCACAGCTCCTTTTTCTTGGCGTGCCCCTGGTCCCTGCAGCCACTTGGCCAAGTGCAGTGTCTGTCTTCCTTCAGGTCCTCTATTGGTGTGCACTTCTCGAGCCTAGGGCCACGTCTTTCCATCTTTGGACAAATGCCAGTGCCTTTTCTGACACATTGTAAGTGCTGAATAGATAGTAAATGGCTGACTGAACAAATGCAACTTACAACTATATAATGGAAGATGTGGAAGTAATCGGGGTGTAGTTTTTTTTTTTCTTGGATTATCCGTTTTCTCTCTGGGATCCATGGTGGTTTATATACAAAATCTCAAGGTCAATGTCTCCTTAGTTGGGGAGCCTAAGTAGGAAAAATAGGAAATGGCTAAAGCATTAAGAAAAAGATAAAGAAGTGTTACATGTCCTTATGAAAACACAGACACTGTAGAGAGAAAGTCTGCAGGACCCTAATGAGCTAACTGCAAAGGGGTTATAAATTCTACATGGTGTCTATCTGCAAGCCAGGGCCACCTCAAGGTCTAAGACCCTTGACGTTGCTGTCATATGAATGTGTGAAGATAGGTTTCAATTGAGATTGATTAGAAAAGGTATCTTGCCCCAATCGAAAATTGGACAAATGATAAGAGCAGGTAAATCACAGGAGACACAAATGCCCCCAGAAGCTGTAAAATGCTAGATTGACGCCAATCACCCAGACAGTGTTGTAACTGTCATCATCAGTTTTGTGACAGGTGAACAAGATTATTTGAAATCGTGGTTGGAATTATAATAATAGCTAACATTTATAGTGTTGTCTGTCCCTGTCAACCTCTTTCCCCTGGTGTGACTTTATCCCGCTATAACAACAGAAATTCATAAATGAAAAAAAAATTGTTTTCTGAAATGCATTTACTGTTAAGCACCTCGTACTAGTTACCTCTTTTAATATTCATCTGTAAGGTAGATATTATTATTCCCATTTTAGAAATGCTGACCCAGATGCACAGAGAGGTTAAGTAACTTGCTCAAAGACACATAGCTGAGTAATGGTTGCAGAGTATAAATTCAGGACGATCTCTCCCAAGAGACTGCACTGTACAATATTGCTTGCCAATGAACTCTCACAGGCAGATGAAATAAAAAGGCAGGTATTTTCTGAAAAGCAAGCCCATTCTATAGTGTTAACTCAAAGTCTGGAGTTGTTCCCCAGATTGGTGATACCAGTTTTAGGGTAGTGGTGATGATGCTGAAATTTCCAGGGACCTTAAAACACACTTGGGAGTTGGGGGAGCCATTTTTTCAACCTCCATTGTAGGAGATAATCAAATCTTAGTCATCTCTTGTGTGTGACTAATACCCATTGCCAGGGCTGTTCCATTCTGCCGCAGAAGCCACTGTAATGACTAAGCCATCAAGATGGATTTTTTCCTGATGACATTTGCTGCACAGGACTAAATTCTATTAAGCCAGCCTTTTCGAGTCTGGATCTGGAGGAGTCATTGTATCACTGTCTTTGAAAATTAGGCTAAAGGGGGTGGTATCTATTAATATACCGAGGCTCTAGTTTCCCTCCTCCTAGGATGCCTGACCTCTCCGGCCCATTCCTGTCTCTTTCTTACTGAACCTGCTGTGCCTGTATTGTGGGAGCCAGCATGACCTCATCGCCCTGAGCATGGGAGTGTTGGGCTGGGCCAGGGCCCTCTCAGTGCCCTCCCAGGCAGAGCCTCCACCCTGGGTTTTACAATTACTCAGGGGCCACAGAATGTGGATGGTGCTAAATTAACGCAGCAAACCAGAAAAAAAAAAAGCAAGGACCCACCATTCAATACACCAATGCTTTTATTTTAAAGCAGACACTAACTGAGGCCGTTTCTGACTTTGACATCCTATAATTACGATCCTGAGAAACATTTATTTAGACAACAACATAAATTAATTGATGACTTCTCTTGTTACTTATACCTCACAAAGGTCAGAGATACAGAGCCAAGAACAATTATCTTGTCACTAACTTAAATTCTTTTGAGTTCTAATTATTGGGGTATTTAGCCTCTTCCCAACTAAAACGCCAACCTTTTCCCCAGCTTCTGAGAATAAAGAAAATCTGATTCACTCCCCTGCTTAAAACCCGTGAGTCCCTTCATCTCCAGGGTGAAAGCCGATCCTTTTCTCATGGAATAGTCCTTCATTATCCATTCCCTGCCTACCTCTTTAACCTTACCTTTTATTATTTTTTTAAATCGACAGATAATATTGGATGTATTTATCATGTACAGCATGATTTTTTTCTTTGTTTGTTTGTTTGTTTTGAGACAGGGTCTTGCTCTGTTGCCCAGGCTGGAGTGCAGTGGCGCGATCTCGGCTCACTGCAAGCTCCGCCTCCCGGGTTCACGCCATTCTCCTGCCTCAGCCTCCCGAGTAGCTGGGACTACAGGCGCCCGCCACCACGCCCGCTATGTTTTTGTATTTTTAGTAGAGGCGGGGTTTCACCGTGTTAGCCAGGATGGTCTCGATCTCCTGACCTCGTGATCTGCCCGCCTCAGCCTCCCAGAGTGCTGGGATTACAAGCCAGCATGATGTTTTGAAGTATATCTTTCAACATCACTCACCTCTGTCCCCAGGTAAGTCTCAGCCAAATGGCACCATCCCACCAAGCTCTCTCTGTCTCTTGGTGGTCCCAGGCCATCCGCTTGGCCTTGAAACACCCCCTCCCGACCCTGACCTGTCCACCCTTACCTGGCTGACTCTTCTTGCTTCTGTCCCAGTTAAGACATCATTTCCTCCTGGAAGCTTTCCCCACTTTCTCCAAATGCCCACATATGTGGGTGCCACTGCTGCAAATTCCCACAGAAGAGCTCAGCAGCTGTCATGGTGGATTATAATGCCTCCTGGATTTGTCTGCCTTTCTCATCAACTGTAAATCCTTGAGAGCAAGGGCTGTGTTATCTTCACTGTCATAGTCCTAATACCCAGCCATTTTGTCTGGCACACAGCAGAAGCTTCATAAATATTTGTGGCTGAATGTTATTCATGCCCATATGATTTTTTACATTTTTTGCGATTTGGAATGTAGCTATCCGTTCTCTTTTTAAACTCCCTGCCACTTACTGAAAACAACCAAGTGACTCATAGTTTCTCCCACTCCAAGCTGATGCCTACTCATGCCATCCAGAGGGCAGTCCCCACCCGCCCAGCCCTTCAACACACACTCTGAGCCAAGCCTCCATCATACTGCGCTAGAACTTGAATGCCACATTGAGGGGTTGGATTTTATTCAACAAGAAGGGTGAGTCAGTGGAAGTTTGTTTAGGACCAGGGAGTGTGCAATTACAGCCAATATGAATGTTTCTGTGAGGTGCAGAATAGATTGCGAGAGGAAGGGAGTCTGGTTAGGGAACTGTGACCGTGAGCAATGTAAATTAGGCTACTGAGGAAAGTATGGAGAGGAGGGACCGGATTTGAACTGAGAGGCAGGACTTGGCAATTGACTACATGTGGGGGCAAAAGAAAGAGGCTCAATGTTGATTTCAAACTCTTAGGTCTAGAAAACGGGAAGGTAGGTGACACCACTAACAGAAGTAGAGATCACTGGATGGATTGTGTGGAGGTGCTTGGTTTTGCTTATTTGGAGAGAAGAGGAATGTATTGATGTGCTAGCAGAGTTTTCAAGTTCTAAAGATCAATTATTCAAATAAAATTAGAGATATCATTTATGAGCAGGCACAGTGGCTCACACCTGTAATCCTAACATTTTGGGAGGCCAAGTCAGGCAGATCACTGAGGTCAGGAGTTCGAGAGCAGCTTAGCCAATATGGTGAAACCCCATCTCTACTAAAAACACAAAAATTAGCCAGGTATGGTGGTATGTGCCTGTAATTCCTGCTACCCAGGAGGCTGAGGCAGGAGAATTGCTGGAACCCAGGAGGTGGAGGCCGCAGTGAGCGGAGATTATGCCACTGCACTCCAGCCTGGGTGACAGACCAAGACTCCATCTCAAAAAAAAAAAAAAGATATCATTTATTAAGTGAATACTCTGAACCAATCATTTCACAAAATTAACATCTAAATGCTTACTACAACACCAAGAGGTGGATTCTATGATTCTCCCCATTCTATGGATAAGGAAATGGAGGCTGAAGTCACGTGACCACATTCACACAGCTGTTCTGAGTGGCAGAGATGGGATTCAGCCCAGGCTCTGTGACCCAGTGTCTTCAGTATGTGGGACTGAGGCTCGAGAGACAGCTTGGAGGTCCCTATAGACTTCAGTGTGGTCCGCATTAGGAAGTTAAAGCACTGAGATGGGACGAGGCTGTCAAGGGAGAAAACGTGCAGAGGAAAGTTGAGAACCATGTATAGAAATGGAAGACTAAGAGTGAGCAGGCAAAGGGAAGAAGAGGAGCCCGAGGTAGAAAGTAAGCAGGGGCAGCCCAGAAGAGGAAGTGGGTAAAGCATCCTGGAATAGGATGGAAACAGGTTTTAGGAGAAAGTGATGAGTGTCACCTGCTGTAGAGAGATGTCAAGAAGGGAAAGTCCTTTAAGGCCATGGGTGTGTTTATTATTTATTGTTTGTCGATCGATCCAGCTAATAATCAGTATGTTTGCCTCCTTAATGTTCTAGGGCATCTACAGTGCAGAAAGCAGAGAAATGTCAAGGAACCAATCTGGGTAACATCAGCAGCACCGGTAGAATTATACCTAGAACGAGCACAGAAAGATAGAGGGAAATTTGTGCTGCGGTTTCCATGCTTCAAATATGCCAAGCTGTGATGTGGCAAATATAATCATTAACGCTGCTTGAAACCCACAGGGATCACTCCCGCATAGCTAAAGCCTCAGTATTGCTTTCGGCTTGAACTCACAACCTGAAACAGCCTTGAATCTAGTATACTGTGGCCCCTAAGATCATTTGCCAATGGTCCAGATCTTATTTCAAGCTCCTCTTTCAAGCACCAGACGACCTGGAGTATGGCCATTTCCAGAACTAGCTGGAACTATTTTTCATCTAGGACCATTCAAATAAGTCTTTAATGCAATTATCAGAATTTACAAACTCGGATCATTCTCTTCTACTTTGCCAATTGCTAAGTAATCTTTTGAGGTTCTAAAACTCAGGGACTTTAAGATGATCTCTGCTGACACTGGAAAAGGAGAGGTCTCTTTCCTCGTCCTTGGCTAAATAATAGATGAACTGGCATCTAAGTTGCTAAAACTGAACTCCCATTAGAGACTTAAATGGCCTCAAAGTGTGTGTCCTGGAGAGAAGAGGCAGGACATACTGGGAGTCTTGAGGAATTATAGAAAGTTGAAACTAAAGAATATCAAAAACTGTCTAGCTTAAGCCCTCATTTCACAGATGAGCAAAAAAGAGGCTTAGAAATATTAAGGGCTTTGCTCTAGTCTCAGAGCTGGTTAATACCAGTACTAGGACTAGAACTAAGTCTCTTAAACATTTAATCCGGTTCCTTTTCCACAATACTATTCAGAAAACAAACATTCATTGATCTGCAGATGTTCGTCCTCTTGCGTTCCAGCATTGTTGCAGCTAATGCCACTTACCGTCTCCGTGAGCATATATTTGTGCCTCAGGCAAGAGAGAAGGGAGGCTGACAGACAAGTTCTTCAAATTATATTGAATGAAGACCTAAAGAGTTTCCTAAGAGGTAATATGAGCTCTGAGGAAAGACCACTTGGGCTTTGGAATTATTCACTCTTGGTTTTAATCCTGGCTTCATCATTGTCTAATTTGTGACACTGAGCAAGTTATATCTTAAACTCTGTATTAGTTTTCTATTGCTGTTGTATGAAATTACCGCAAACCTAGTGGCTTAAAACATCACAGATTTATTCTCTTACAGTTGTGGAAAAGGCCCGAAATGTGTCTTGCAGGCTACAGCAAGGTGTCAGCAGGGCAGGCTCCTTCAGGTGTCTCTAAGGATGAATTGTTTTCCTGCCTTTTCCAGCTTCTGAAGGTCACCTGCATTCCTGGGCTCATGGCCCCTTCCTCGCATCACTCTAACCTCTTGCTTCTGTTGTCACATCTCCCACTACTGACTTTGACCTTCTTGATTCCCTCTTTATTTATTTACTTAAAAAAATTTCTTTTAGAAACAGAGTCTCACTCTGTTACCCAAGCTGGAGTGCAGTGGTGCAATCATAGCTCACTGCAGCCTGGGCTCAAGTGATCCTCCTGCCTTGGCCTCCCACAGTGCTGGGATTACAGGCGTGAGCCACCACACCTGGCCTTGACTCTTTCTTTTTTTTTTTTTTTTTTTTTTTGAGATGGAGTCTCGCTCTGTCACCCAGGCTGGAGTGCAGTGGCCCAATCTCGGCTCACTGCAACCTCTGCTTCCTGGGTTCAAGCGTTTCTCTTGCCTCAGCTTCCCATGTAGCTGGGACTACAGGCATGTGCCACCACACCTGGCTAATTTTTGTATTTTTAGTAGAGATGGGTTTTCGCCATGTTGGTCAGGCTGACCTCGAACTCCTGACGTCAGGCGATCGGCCCGTCTTGGCCTCCCAAAGTGCTAGGATTACACAGGTGAGCCAACCACACCCGGCCTTGACTCCTTTTATAAGGGATTACATGTGATTACAGTGGACCCACCCAGCTAACCCAGTATAAATAAGCTCCCATCTCAAGATGTTTAACTTAATCACATTGACAAAGTTTTTCTTTGTTGTTGTTGTTTTTTTTTCCACGTATATTCACAGCTCCTGGTGATTAGGATATGGACATTTTTGCGGGTCATTATTCTATTTTCCACAAACTCTATGAGGCTCAAAGATAAGTCTGGAGCTAACAATTCCCATCTAGGGCTGAGTGCAGTGGCTCACACCTGTAATCCCAATACTTTGGGATGTTGAGGCAAGAGGATCGCTTCAGCTCAGGAGTTCGAGACCAGCCTGGGCAACATAGTGAGACTCTATCTCTGCAAAAAAAAATTTTTTAAGTAGCTGGGTGTGACGTGCACACCTGTGGTCCCAGTTACTTGGGAGGCTGAGGCAGGAGGATCACTTGAGCTCCGGAGGTCGAGGCTGCAGTGAGATATGATTGCACCACTGCCCTCCAGCTTGGATGGCAGAGCAAGACCCTGTCTCGAAAAAGAATTCCCTCCCATCTAATAGTGCTTGGACATCACTTCTTATAAGACTTTCTTGGGACCCCAAAATCAGGTTAGGGTCTCCTCCTATGTGTTCCCATCACCTTCTGGGGTCACCTCTTACTGGAGCCCTTATAAAACCGCATTACAGTTACTTGATTATGATTACATCTTCCACACTAGTCTTTTTAACTCCAGAGAGTAGGGACTGTGCCTTATTTATTTTTGTATCTCCTGCCCCCAACATGGTGTCTGGCACTTGGTAGTTGCTTAATAAATATCTGTTGTCATGAGGACCAAAAAAGACCAAGTAAAATGCCCAATGGGGCCAGGCACAGTTGCTCAAGCCTGTAATCCCAGCACATTGGGGGGCCGAGGCGGGTGGATCACCTGAGGTCAGGAGTTCAAGACCAGCCTGGCCAACCTGGTGAAACCCCGTCTCTACTAAAAATACAAAAATTAGCCAGGCATGCTGGCAGGTGCCTGTAATCCCAGCTACTCTGGAGGCTGAGGCAGGAGAATCGTTTGAACCCAGGAGGCAGAGGTTGCAGTGAGCTGAGATTGCACTATTGCACTCCAGCCTAGGCGACTAGAGTGAAACTCCATCTCAAAAAAAAAAAAAAAAAATGCCCAATGGTACCTGGCTCAAATAGGTATTCAATAGATGGTGAATGGTGAATCCTTTTGCTAACACCCATTATTGCCAAAAAAAAGTAGGAGAATTTCTCTTTTCTTTTTATTTTACTTTAAGTTCCAGGATACATGTGCAGAATGTGCAGGTTTGTTACATAGGTATACATTTACCATGGTGGTTTACTGCACTTATCAACCCATCACCTAGGTTTTAAGCCCCGCATGCATTAGGTATTTGTCATAATGCTCTCCCTTTCCTTACCTCCCCACACCCTGACAGGCCCCAGTGTGTGACATTCCCCTCCCTGTGTCCCTGTGTTCTTATTGTTCAACTCCCACTTATGAGTGAGAACGTGTGGTGTTCGGTTTTCTGTTCCTGTGTTAGTTTGTTGAGAATGATGGTTTCCAGCTTCATCCATGTCCCTGCAAAGGACATGAACTCATTCTTTTTTATGGCTGCATAGTATTCCATGGTGTATATGTGTCACATTTTCTTTATCCAGTCTATCATTGATAGGCATTTGGGTTGGTTCTAAGTCTTTGCTATCATAAATAGTCCTGCAATAAACATATGTGTGCATGTATCTTTATAGCAGAATGATTTATAATCCTTTGGGTATATACACAGCAATAGGATTGCTGGGTCAAATGGTATTTCTGGTTCTAGATCCTTAAGGAATTGCCACACTGTCTTCCACAGTGGTTGAACTAATTTACACTCCCCAAAGTAGGAGAATTTCTATGGATGACAAGTGAAATGCCTCCATCTCGACAGGGAAAGTACAAGAAAGCATGTCTTCTAGCTTAGAGACAAAAACCCTTTAAGGCAGTCAGAGCCAATGGCATGGTTTACCTTTTCTGTTTTTATTATAACATTGTTTTGCCCAGAACCTACCACCCATTTGCTGAGGAAAGTGTGCTGGCTGACTTTGACAGGCAAGTGGGGCAGGAACAGGTGAAAAGGAAGAAATCCACTATCAGTATTTCATCATAAACTGGGCAGAACAGAGCCTCAACCTGGATCTGCCTTTACCACTTCAAGTGCTGTGAACTCTTGGCTTGTGCCACATTTTCTCTCAATGGGCCACACTTGCTTTCTTTACTGACATTTATGCCTAGTGCAGTGGAGAGACAAGAGGATGGGCAGCAGGCCAAGTAGTTCTGGGTGGCCCTGTGGTGCTGGACTCACCGTAGTCTTGGACTTGCTCTCTGACCATACGCAAGTCACTCCTCTTTCAATTTCTGCGCCTATAAAATGCATGACTCACCTCACAGACACCGAGAAATACCAAGTGTTCCTGTCTTTAAAGAGAAAGAGTTATTAAAAAAAAAAAAAAGCTACTGTAGATGTACCTATCAGGCTATTACTAGACCAAAGCTAAAACCAAGGCCAAAGCCAGCTTTGATTTCATTTCAAGGCCTGGAGCAAGGAACCTACTCTCAGAACTTTAAAGAAGCATGCTGTTTAAAGTCAGCTTCCCAGCCTGCAATTTAGATTCAGACTCACACACACCCCACAGTGGAGACCTTAGTTCCCCTGCAGGTACACACAGTAGGACTTGAACCAGCAACTTTGCCTTTTTAGCTAAGCAGTAATGGATTGATTGCATTTACAGCCAGAGCCTGATTGGCGTGCCGGCCATATTTGCTGACAAAATTCAGTCACGTGATCTGCAAAAGGATGTTTTAATTATTTGTGAATTTATTTCTATGAGAAGTTTACAAAGGAATAAATATTAAATCAAATGCATTTATGCATTTAGCAAGTCACTCTATTTAAGAACAAATTGTATACTCAGGCCATCATGAGCTCCTTAAAGACCACTGTGTTTTATTTATTTTTAAATCCCCATCTTTAAAATACCCTTAAAATAGTTGGCGATCAATAAATGTTGACTGACTAATTAGTTATTCCATCAAACACGATTTCTATAGTCTATTGCAGGGATAAAAGGGAAATAGAAGATGTAGTCTTTGCCACCAATTGGAGGCGATAGGGCAAACAGATTAAAGAGACATACAGCGAAAGGACATTGCACAGTGAAAGCCAATTTGCATTTATATGGAACTTGCCTGGTTGGGCAATATTGATCACTCATTCATTTAATCTTTCATTTTTATCATTCAATAAATATTTTGTAAGCACTTTTCGATGAGATAACAAAGAAGAAGGCTGTGTTAACTCTGAATTATGCTCAGTTCTCGAGTCTTCTTTGACTAAACAGGCAAGAAATGGGCAATTCCATGGACAGTGCCCAGAACTGCTACTTTAGAGAAGCAAAAAGATACTACAAGGTTTCAAGGGAGAAAATGGATCCAGTCTAGGGGTGACAGGCGGGTCCATCTCAACCACCAAAGAGCACCTGCTTTCAGTGACATCATTTCAAACATGAAGAGTAAAGAAGGGAAGGGCAACGTGGAATTTAGGAAAAAAGAACTCCTTCCAAACTCAGGAACTTTAATAGTCCGTAAGCAGGAATTTTGACAAATGCTTTTGACTCAGAGATTTAGAATTGTGGCTTAATAAAACTAATAAACTAAAAACCAATAAAAATAACACAAATGACCTTCTACTGTGGATAAAGGCAACCCCACTATCATTCATTTCACTATCAGCTCTGTCCAGAGGAATAAAATTCACCTTCAGCCCCCTCTTTACTGTGGATTCCTAAAACTGTGGCCAACCAACTCCCAATTGCCCAATTTCTCCTGTGTCTTCGGTGGGGTTCCCAAGAACAGGAGGATTCTTGAGCAAGTGATTCATCAGGGCAGTGTTCTCAGGAGGAGGCGAGTGAGGAGGCAAGAGAGCACAGGGTGGGGAAAGTCAAGGAAGGATGTGGTCTCATCTGGAGACCAGCTTCAGGCTGATCCCTCCAGGGAGCTTGGGAAACCCAAAGTGCACCACACAGGCAATGCCTCCTTGATGCAGGGGGCTGAGCTTTTGTATGTCTGGGCCAGACTGCCTTTTGGGAGCCTTGACTCCCAGGAGAAGGAGGGGCTGTGAGTTGTCATCAGCCAGCAAAAGGGACCTGGATGGGGCACTCCTAGCACCTACCATGGTGAAATATACGAACCGCTGAATACAAGTGAGCTCAGTGAAGGGAGATGCTAATCCCCAAACCATACATCTTGCCATTATATTGTAACAATAAGTAATTCAAAATCAAAGCTGTTTCTACATCCCCCAAAGCACCTCAGACTCAACATATCCCAAACCAAAGTGTCACCTCACGTCCCCCATGTCACCAAACCGCTTCCCTGGTATTCTCTTTGTCGATGGGATTCCATCATAATGAGGTCACTCAAGCTACTGACTTCTCTCTCTCTCTTTTTCTCTCTCTGCAATCTGTTCCACATTTAATCAATCACCAAGTCCTACCAGTTTTACCTCTTAAAGGTTCTTAAACATATTGCCTGACTCTCCCTCTTCATTACCACTGACCCAGGGCAGATCCTGGTCATATCTCACCAGATCTCCCTGCCTCCAAATGCGTCCTCCCCAAATCCAACACCTCCCACCCCATTCCTGGCTAAAATGTTCAGTGATCTCTTTCTACAGAAATGTCCAAGCTGCTGACCTTAACTTTCAGCAGCTTCCCTGAACAGGCACCAGCCCATCTCACTGACTTATTTTTCAGCACTTTCTGACTTGCACTTTATTTTCTAACCACACTAAACTGCTGACTGTTGCCTTGCCCACAGAATGCTGCTCTCCATCCAGGCCTGGACTGATACTGTTCCCTCTTCTGCTAATGCCTTTGTCCTCTTTATCTGGCTCGCTCAGATCAGATGGCACCTCTCCAGGAAGCCTGCTGTCCTCCTCCTCCTCCTCTTCCTCAGACTGGGTTCAGTATCCTTCCCCTGTGTGGTTGTTTTTTTTTTTTTTTTTTTTTTTTTGAGACAGAGTCTCGGTCTGTCGCCCAGGCTGGAGTGCAGTGGTGCAATCTCGGCTCACTGCAAGCTCCACTTCCTGGGTTCACGCCATTCTCCTGCCTCAGCCTCCCGGGTAGCTGGGACTACAGGCGCCCACCACCACGCCCGGCTAATTTTTTGTATTTTTAGTAGAGACAGGGTTTCACCATGTCAGCCAGGATGGTCTTGATCTCCTGATCTCCCACCTCAGCCTCCCAAAGTGCTGGGATTACAGGCGTGAGCCACCGTGCCTGGCCCCCCTGTGTGTTTTTTTTGTCTTTTTTTTTTTTTTTTTTTTTTTTTTGAGATAGAGTCACTTCGTCACCTAGGCTGGAGTACAGTGGTGAGATCTTGGCTCACTGCAACCTCTGCCTCCCGGGTTCAAGCGATTCTCCTGCCTCAGACTCCTGAGTAGCTGGTACTACAGGCATGCACCACTACACCTGGCTAATTTTTGTATTTTTAGTAGAGATGGGGTTTCTACTAAACCCCCGGGCTGTTGGCCAGACTGGTCTCGAACTCATGGACTCAAGTGATCTGCCCACCTTGGCCTCCCAAAGTCTTGGGATTACAGGCATGAGCCAGTGTGCCTGGCGCCCTTTGTCTTTTACATAGCAAGCCACTGCAATTGCTACATAATATTACAATTATGTGCCCCCTTCCCTAGACTGTGAGCTCCCTGAAGTTAGGAAATGCTGTGCCTTATTTGTATTTGTATCCTAGGTGTTTAATATAATAACTGGTACTTCGTAGGTACTTAATAAATGAATGCTGAATTGATGAATATTTATTGAGCCCTCCCACCCCCTTGAGACAGTGTGCCATTTGAAGAAACTAGATTAGTGTAAACTCATATATAGTTCCCTAAGGTGGCAGGAGGCACTTCCAACACTAAAAGAACAGTACCAGACAGCATATATTTCATTTCAGAGCTGCAGAAGGTGATACCATCAACAACTTGGGGATGCGGGATGAGAGAGATCAGAAATGGCCTGGGAAGATTTCAGACCAGGAAGAGAGCAGCCCAGAAGGATGGGTTACAGAGAATTGGTGGCTATCTCACCCTGTTACCATGCTATGGTTTACCCACCACCAAACTGGTGGAAAAGTGAAATAGTTATTGATTCATTTGTCAACCTTAAATAACATGATTTAGAACATATGATTAGGTATAGAGTTTATTGGAGCTCAAAGCCAGGAATAGCCATCCAGGAAACACGGACTTCAAAGAAGTGGAGCCAGTGATCTAAAGTAAAAAAAGTTAAAGTCGGCCAGGTGTGGTGGATCATGCCTGTAATCCCAGCACTTTGGGAGGCTGAGGCGGGCAGATCATGAGGTCAGAAGATCGAGACCATCCTGGCTAACATGCTGAAACCCCGTCTCTACTAAAAATACAAAAAATTAGCTGGGCATAATGGTGGGCGCCTGTAGTCCCAGCTACTCAGGAGGCTGAGGCAGGAGAATGGCGTGAACCCGGGAGGTGGAGCTTGCAGTGAGCCGAGATCCCGCCACTGCACTCCAGCCTGGGCGACAGAGCAAGACTCTGTCTCAAAAAAAAAAAAAAAAAAAAAAAAATTAAAGTCTTGCTTATACAGGCAGAAAACAAAGAAATTTAGTAGGATTAGAACATTTCATCTTAGACAATGAGATAGTTATGAAGTCTTTGTGTCAGAAAGGTAAGAAGGAAGTGAATCTATAATGAAGATCAATAGTGAAGGTGGAAGGGATCTTCCCTGGCACCCTTCAGTCATTTACAACATTTTACAAAACAATGTGGGTAAGAAAGAAGGCTAATCTATAATCAGAGAAACAAAGGTTACAGCTGCCTATTTATGTAACTTGAGTCCCATAATCACACTCCTTCAAGGTTCATAATATTTTAAAGTTCCAACAGCCTTGATTTTGAAATACTTATTTTCACACATTCAACAAATATTTGTTGAGCATGTACAATGAGGCGCAGACCTAGGTGCTGGGGGATATAGCAACAAACTCAGAAGGCCTTATGTCTGCTCTCATTGAGCTTACCAGGTGGTGGGGAGACAAAACACAAAAGTAAGCAAAGAAATGTATCATTACACATAGTAATAAGTCCCTGTGAAGGGACTAAACAGGATGGTGGGAGAGAAAATAGCAGGAGGACAGGGAAGGTCTCCCTGAGGATGTGGTTTTAAGCTGAAGTTGGCAAGGACAGGAAAGAGAGGGAGGAGGAGCATCCCAGGACACAGGCCCGAGGGACTGCCCATTCAAGAAACCCAGAGGCCAGTGCAGCCTCAAAAATGTGGGCTGACGGGACACAGTGGCTCACAACGTAATCCCAGCACTCTGGGAGGCTGAGGCAGGAGAACTGCTTGAGGTCAGGAGTCTGAGACCAGACTGGCCAACATAATGAGACCCTGTCTCTACAAAAAGTAAAAAATAAAAATTAGTGGCCAGGCGTGGTGGCTCACACCTGTAATCCCAGCACTTTGGGAGGCCAAGGCAGGCAGACCACCTGAGGTCGGGAGTTCAAGACCAGCCTGACCAACATGGAGAAACCCCATGTCTACTAAAAGTACAAAATTAGCTGGGCGTGGTAGCGCCTGCCTATAATCCCAGCTACATGGGAGGCTGAGGCAGGAGAATCACTTGAACCTGGGAGGTGGAGGTTGCAGTGAGCTGAGATCCTGCCATTGCACTCTAGCCTGGGCAACAAGGGCAAAACTCCATCTCAAAAAAAAAAATTAGCTGGGCTACTTGGGAGGCTGAGGCAGGTGGATTGCTTGAGCCCTGGAGTTTGAGACGACGGTGAGCTAGGATCGCACTACTGCATTCCAGCCTGGGCAACAAAGCAAGATCTTGTCTCTAAAAATATAAACATTTTAAAATAAAAAAAATAATAAATTTGAAAAGTAAATAACAATAATAATTTTTTAAAGGTGGGCAAATGAAAGCAAAGCCCGACAGTATCTACAGTGGGGCAGGCAAAGACAGAGCAGGTGGACCCAAGTCAGCCAGGATAAGTTTAGATTTTGTTCTAAGTACTACAGCTGGCTGAGCAAGAGCTTTAAGACAGAGATGATGTGGTGTGATGTATTAATCAGTGCAGTTCTTGCGCTGCTATAAGGAAATACCTGAGACTGGGTAATTTATAAAGAAAAGAGGTTTAATCGGCTCACAGTTCTGCAGGCTGTACAGGAAGCACGGCAGCATCAGCTTCTGGGGAAGCTTCAGGAAACTTACAATCATGGTGGAAGGCAAAGGGGAGTAATGAATCTCACATGGCCAGAGCAGAAGGAGGAGAGAGACAGGGAGGTGCTGGACACGGTTAAACAACCAGATTTCAAGAGAACTTAACCCCTACACAGCACCGAGGGGAGACTGTGTTAAACCATTCATAAGAACTCTGCCTCCACGATCCAGTCACCTCCCATCAGGCCCTACCTCCAACGCTGAGGTTACAATTTGACATGAGATTTGGATGGGGACACAGATACAAACCATGTCATGTGATTTACATTCATATTGGAATACTCAGGCTGCTGGGAGGAGACAAGATTGAAAAGGAATTTGGGAAGAAGGGAGAGCCATTGGGGGTGGTTAGGACTAGGATTAAGCTATTTAACTTTTCCCTTTGGAAAGATTATTATTTACCCCATTTTACAGCTGAAGAAACTGAGCTTCAGAGTTGGGATGGAGCCCAAATTTTGTTCTATCCCTGAATTGGTTCTTAAATCCCAGCTGCCTCCTTTTTTTTTTTTTTTTTTTTTTTTTGACAGGGTCTCATTCTGTTGCTCAGGCTGGAATGCAGAGGTGCAATCACAGCTCACTACAGCCTCAACCTCCTGGGCTCAAGTGATCCTCCCACTTCAGTCTCCCGAGTAGCTGGGACCACAGGTGTGTGTCACAATATCTGGCTAGTGTGTGTGTGTGTGTGTGTGTTTTGGTAGAGACAGGTTTTCATCATGTTGCCAAGGCTGGTTTCAAACTCCTGGCCTCAAGTGATCTGCCCGCCTCAGCCTCCCAAAGTGTTGGGATTACAGGCGTGAGCCACCACGCCCGGCCTCTTCTGTAATTCTTGTGTTCAGTTGCACATAACTTCCAGACTGGCAAAGATGAAAAGGAATGATAATATCCATTTTTGGCAAGGAAGTGGGGGAAAAGGGACTTCTCACCCACTGCAGGTGAGAATGTGAATTCATTCTGTCTTTCCAGGGGAAATCCAATGACTGAAAGAGGCGCATCCTCCTACAGCCACCATGTCCAGTTTTAGGAATCCTAAAAATAAATAAATAAATGATCTACTGAGCCAAGATGTTTGAAAAAGTCTTGTTTGTCAGTATTTGTAAGAGTGAAATAGTGAGAAAATGGGGTTACTCAAAGATGCACGGTATGATCCCATTTTGTAAAATGTATGTTTATACATATAGAAAAAATTCTGGAAGAGTCTATGCCAAAATATTAAGAGGAGTTATTTCCAGATATTGGCATATGTGGAGATTTTGTTGTTGCTGTTTTTTTTTATTTTTTTATTTATTTTATTTTATTTTATTTATTTATTTTTTGAGATAGAGTCTTGCTCTGTCGCCCAGCCTGGAGTGCAGTGGTGCGATCTCGGCTCACTGCAAGCTCTGCCTCCTGGGTTCAAGCAATTCTCCTGCCTCAGCCTCCCAAGTAGCTGGGACTACAGGCGCCCGCCACCACGTCCGGCTAATTTTTTTTGTATTTTTAGTAGAGATGGGGTTTCACCATGTTAGCCAGGATGGTCTCGATCTCCTGACCTTGTGATCCGCCCATCTCGGCCTCTCAAAGTGCTGGGATTACAGGTGTGAGCCACCGCACCTGGCCTGTTGCTGTTTTTTAAAAATCTGTTGTGTCTAATGTTTCTAAATCAAAAGAAGTTCACATTTTTAAATTAATAAATAATAATTGTACATAGTCATGAGGTATATAGTGATGTTTTGATATTTATAATATATAATGATCAGATCACAGTATCAGCATATCCATCATCTCAAACACAAAAATGTTAACTTTTTATTGAAGTATAACATACATACATAGAAAATAGCACACATCTTATGTTCACAATCTGATGAATGATTACAAACTGAACACAATCATGAACAACACATTGATCAAGAAATAGAACATGACCAGACTCTTAGAAGCTCTCTTCATAAAATCAGACCGAACCTACTTTGCTATGTCTGGCTTCTTTCACTCCAGATTATGTTTATGTACATTGAGTGCACATGGACACAAAGAAGGGAGCAACAAACACGGGGCCTACTTGAGGGTGGAAGATGGGAGAGGTGTGAAGATAAAAAAACTACCTATTTAGTACGATGTTTATTACCTGAGTGACGAAATAATCTGTATACCAAACCTCCGTGGCTCGTAATTTACCTATATAGCAAATCTGCACCTGAGCCCCTGAACCTAGAATAAAAGTTAAAATATAGGCCGGCATGGTGGCTCATACTGTAGTCCCAGCACTTTGGGAGGCTGAGGTGGGTGGATCACCTGAGGTCAGGAGTTCAAGACCAGCCTGACCAACATGGTGAAACCCTGTCTCCACTAAAAATACAAAAATTAGCCGGGTGTGGTGGTGCATGCCTGTAGACCCAGCTACTCTGAAGGCTGAGGCAGGAGAATCGCTTGAACCCGGGAGGCAGAGGTTGCAGTGAGCCAAGATGGTGCCATTGCACTCCAGCTTGGGCAATAAGAGCGAAACTCTGCCTCAAAAAAAAAAAAAGTTAAAAAATATACGTGTGTGTGTGTGTGTGTGTGTGTGTGTGTGTGTGTGTGTGGTGTGTATATCTACATGTATATGTATATATAAATATAATTTTTAAAAAACGATTATGTTGGCTGGGCACAGTGGCTCATGCCTGTAATCCCAGCAGTTTGGGAGGCCGAGGCGGGCGGATCACCTGAGGTCAGGAGTTCGAGACCAGACTGACTGACATGGAGAAACCCTGTCTCTACTAAAAATACAAAATTAGCCGGGCGTGGTGGCACATGCCTGTAATCCCAGCTACTCGGGAGGCTGAGGCAGGAGAATCGCTTGAACCAGGGAGGCAGAGGTTGCATGGAGCTGAGATCACACCATTGCACTCCAGCCTGGGCAACAAGAGCAAAGCTCCGTCTCAAAAAAAAAAAAAAAAAAAAAAAAATATATATATATATATATATATATATATACACGTTTATGTGATTGATTCTTCCATGTAGCTGCATTTAATTGGATTAAGTTAATCAATTGATTAAAATCTTAGAATGGTCACACCTTGTCTTTTATAAATACAACACTGCAGAATCTGTGATAATCATAAGCATTTTGTCACCTGATGAAGCATTTTTCATCTAAACTAGCTCTAGGCATTATTATTATCCTCATTTAATAGAAAAGGGGCCTGGGATTGAAAGGGTAATTTGCCTTGCACAAAGCTAGTAGGTGGCCAAGCCAGGACT
This sequence comes from Homo sapiens, assembly GCF_000001405.40. Lineage (NCBI taxonomy): Eukaryota > Metazoa > Chordata > Mammalia > Primates > Hominidae > Homo > Homo sapiens. Next base: position 235,894,091 of record NC_000001.11, on the reverse strand, counting down.
GCCTCTTATCTAAATCCATGCCCTTTCTGCCCCACCCCATTGAATTAAGAGCAAAGGTAGCAGTGGCTTAAATGAAAGGAATGTTTCGCTCACCATTAGGCCATTTAGACATTGAGACAAAGTTACCAGGGAAAGTTGTCTAAACTTCTTTCCTGAAAATCATTGCGAAAAATTGGGAAGGCAAATATCCCATAAATATTCATCCAGCTTCAATATTAATTATCTCCAGAGAGAATTTCTTCTGCTAATGCTATGATATCAACATTTCTCATTTAATACTATTAATCATAATGCCTTCATGATTACATTGCCTATGTAGTATATGCTTACATATCATGTGGATTTTACATTTGCATATGCCCACTTTCCTCTCCAGCTTAATGAATATCAATGATTGCAGCCTCTTAGCAATAAAGGAGTGTCACTTCTCATTCACAGATGAGGAAATTGAGGCCCACTATCAAATAGATGGTTACGGCGGAACTGGAGCAAAATTCAGGTCTTCAGCCTCCCAGTCCGTGACTCTTTGGAGCGCACATAACTACGTAAAATGAGAAACTTTGTTTCTACTTGGAAACATAAACAATGATAATCCTAATTGTTATTAAAACTGTGAAATGTTTTTTTTTTTCCCAAGACAGTAGGGCTGCATGACTTAGTTTTATGTTATAAAATCATGATATTGTACCCTAAGATAATGATCCTTCTTTGAGACATGATTCAGGTGTCTCTGCAGGAACTAATTTCACAATCCAGTATACTTCATAGGAATTTCGGAAGAAATTAGGTAAATTAGCTGAGAAAACAAGAACTTATCACCTCCAATATTGACTTAAGCGCTAATAACACAAGTAACCTTACCTTATAGAGCTGTGGGACTTCAAAAGCAGAAGTGAGGTCACAGAAGAGCTTGGTCTAAACTTGTCCCCTCCTTCCCCATTCCTACTTCTGCTTCTGTGGATATTCCTCTTTTTTGGTAATTTTAGAGAAAAAAAAACAAAAAACAAAAAACAAACATGAAGACTCACATCCAGAGCCTTCCTACCTCCGAATGTAGCATTCACTGCGCTGAGAGCTTTTCCCCAGGAAGTTGGGCTTTGCTCTCACCTGGTCACCTTTCAGGAATCCCAAAAATACAGGGTCTGTTTTCCCTGCAAAAGAACAGTATGTGCAGGTCAAAGGACAACAGATAGGCCTATTTATTTTCCCAGAGACCTTGGCCAGGCCCTAGTGTCTTCTCTTCCCTTGTCCTCAGGTTGTGGGTCAGCCTCAGGTCATGGGTCAGGTCGGGCTTGCACAGCCCTGATCAGGTCCCAGGGCTTCCCTCCCCACCCTCCCTGGTGGGTTTTCTAGGCTTCTTCTTTGAGAGCCTCTATGAACCTCTGTCCTCCCAGTTACCTTTATAAATAGACAATGGGGAAAAACAAATATTTCAATAAATAGTTGAATAAGGTCTCAGAGCTGTTGCCCTTCTAATGACTGTTAGATACTAGAAAATACCTCAAATTTCAGAGCTCTGGGCCATCCCCTGTCCTAGAGCTGGGCCCCCTAGGGTAGCGTTGTGGTCTGGGTACACACCTTGAATGCTGAGTAAATACAGAACTTTCTGGGCTTCTGGTGAGAACTCTTAGAACACGCTATATGGCACGAATATTTTCTCTCCTAGAGAAGACGGCCGAGCCCTGGGACTCTTGTCTGCTGACCCAGACTGTAACAGAGCCTGACAACTCACAGAGGTCTTTTTTTGTCCTCAAGCTCAGAGAACTTCAGGGCCAGCTGCCTTCGTTTGGGTGAGAGGGTGGTGCACAGCTTAGGGAAGGCTGAGCAACAGGAGCTGCAGGGAGGGTGTGGCCTCCTTTGTGGGGTCAACAGTGGGCCTAAGTCTGGGCTGGGTAGTTGGTGAGAGTGAAACTGGGTTGATTGGGAGAGGGACTTATGGCAGTGCCCCTGTCTGAAAGAGGAGCAGGGTCTCTCGGAAGACCCATAATCCTGATCCCTCACTGAAACCCAAACGCCTTGAGAAATCCTCTGCATTGCTCATGACTGACATTTAGTATAGTAATAGTTGTGTTAGGCCCTTTGAATGATAAACACCACATTCTGGATAAGGATGATCTCTAGGAAGAGGCCATGGGAGAAACATATCAATGAAGTCTCATATCCATAATGTTGTCATTTTAAATGCAAGTCTTATTTTGGGATAATTTATGGAAAAATTGCAAATGTAGTCCAAAGAGTTCCCATATACCCCTTCGTCCCATTCCCCCCAGTGTTGACATCTTACATAACCATGGTACAGAAATGAACATAACTCAGAAATTAACACTGGTACAACTAAACGTTAGATTTTATTCAGATTTCACCAGTTTTTTCACAAACGCCCTTTTTCCATTTCAGGATCCAATCCAGGACTCGACATTACACTTAGCACACCTATATTGTTTTATATGTTTGAAAAGTTTGAAAAAATGTTGGCAAGGCCGGGCGCGGTGGCTCACGCCTGTAATCCCAGCACTTTGGGAGGCCGAGGCGGGTGGATCATGAGGTCAGGAGATCGAGACCATCCTGGCTAACAAGGTGAAACCCCGTCTCTACTAAAAATACAAAAAATTAGCCGGGCGCGGTGGCGGGCGCCTGTAGTCCCAGCTACTCGGGAGGCTGAGGCAGGAGAATGGCGTGAACCCGGGAGGCGGAGCTTGCAGTGAGCCGAGATTGCGCCACTGCAGTCCGCAGTCCGGCCTGGGCGACAGAGCGAGACTCCGTCTCAAAAAAAAAAAAAAAAAAGAAAAAAAAAGAAAAAGAAAAAATGTTGGCAAACTTTCTGGCAAGAACAGAAACTTCATTATATTGCTTTCTGGCCATTATTGGAGGGAACATAGTGCTTATGAGGGAGGCTCTGGAGATAAGACAAGCAATCCAGCTTCAAATTCTGGCTCAAGCACTCTCTAGCTGTGTGCTTAATCTCTCTGAGCCTAAATTTCCTCAACTCAAAAATAGGGATGATAACAGTATGTACCACTTAGGCTTACTCTGAGATTTACATGGATTAAGTCACACAAGGCAACTAGAAATTGTGATCAAGAAATGTTAGCTATTATTATTAATTGCATATGTAATTCACAACACAATTTTTCTAAAAATAGCTCCTTTGAGAGTCTCTGGAGTCCATCTTAATAAGAAATCACAACCTTCATTGTAAATCTGTTCCCCATTACAAAATTTGCTACATTGTATTGTAACTATGTGCTTCTGTATCTGTCTTTAACAGTATTGTAACTATTTGTTTCTGTATTTGTTTTTAACAATATTGTAAGTATTTGTTTCTATATCTGTCTTTAACAATGAACTGCACTTTGCACAGCAAGGCACATACAAGAGGAAAGTGTGTTTAGTATGAAGGAAGAAAGAAAACATGGAAAGTGGTTCGGTATCTCCTCCAGATGCTCTAATGGGGGACTCAGGGCCAGAGTGGGGCACAGCATTTGTTCAGATCAAGGGAGCTGCATTTTTCAGGGCAAAGATTTAGCAGGGATGAAAAGATGAAATAACAGTGTAGAGAGAGCTACAAGCACTGAGCAGAGGGGCAGGGGGTAAGTGGGTCTAGATGCAAAGAAAACGCTTTCTGTCCTTAAGAGCATGCACAGTACAGGAGCCTGGAAGAACTTTTCATCCCGGGGCTGCACTGAAAAGTCCACTGAACTCAACTGGGACAATGGCTGCAGTCAGCTTTCATCCTTGATGCTGAGTACCGAGCAATCCCTCCCACACTTCACTTTTTTATTTATTTATTTATTTATTTATTTATTTATTTATTTATCACTTGATTGAGATAGAGTCTCACTCTGTCGCCCAGGCTGGAGTGCAGTGTCCCGATCTCGGCTCACTGCAACCTCCGCCTCCTGCGTTCAAGTGATTCTCCTGCCTCAGCCTCCCACATAGCTGGGCTTACAGGCATGCACCACCATGCCTGGCTAATTTTTGCATTTTTAGTAGAGACGGGGTTTCATCATGCTGGCCAGGCTGGTCTCGAACTCCTGACCTCAGGTGATCCTCCCACCTTGGCCTCCCAAAGTGCTGGGATCACAGGCCTGAGCCACCACGTCCAGCCTTTTATTTATTTTTTTGAAACAAGGTCTCACTCTGTTGCCCAGGATGGAGTGCAGCGGTGTGCCATCACGGCTCACTGTAGCTTCGACCTCCCCAGGCTCAGGTGATCCTCCCACCTCACCCTCCCAAGTAGCTGGAACTGCAGGCATGGGCTACCACACCAGGCTAATTTTTGTACTTTTTTGTAAAGACAGGGTTTCACCAAGTTGCCCAGGCTAGTGTCAAACTCCTGGGCTCAAGCATTCTGCCTGCCTCGACCTTCCAAAGTGCTGGGATTACAGGTGTGAGCCACTGGAGGGGAACCACCCCATCTTTTTTTTTTTTTTTTTTTTTTTTTTTTTGCTGTTTGTTGTTGTTGTTGTTTGTTTGCTTTTCTGTTTTGAGCCAGAGTTTTGCCCTGTCACTCAGGCTGGAGTGCAATGGAGCAGTTTTGGCTCACTGCAACCTCTGCCTCCTAGGATCAAGTGATTCTCCCATCTCAGCCTACCGAGTAACTGGAATTACAGGTGCCCGCCACCATGCCTGGCTAATGGTTGTATTTTTAGTAGAGACAGGGCTTCATGATGTTGGCCAGGCTGGTCTTGAACTCCTGACCTCAGGTGATCCAACCGCCTCGGCCTCCCAAAGTGTTGGGATTACAGGCGTGAACCACCGCGCCCAGCCTTTTTTTGTTGTTGTTTTGTGAGATGGAGTCTCGCTCTGTTGCCCAGGCTGAAGTGCAATGGTGCAATCTCAGCTCACTGCAACCTCTGCCTCCCGGGTAAAAGCAATTCTCCTGTCTCAGCCTCCCGAGTAGCTGGGATTACAGGCACACACCACCATGCCCAGCTAATTTTTGTATTTTTAATAGAGACGGGGTTTTACCATGTTGGTCAGGCTGGTCTCAAACTCCTGACCTCAGGTGATCCACCTGCCTTGGCCTCCCAAAGTGCTGGGATTACAGGTGTGAGCCACCGCACCTGGTCACAATGTAACCATTTTTAAGTGCACAGTTCGGTGTCATTAAGTATATTCACATTCTTGTGCAAACCTCACCACTATCCATCTCCAGACTTTCTCCTCTTCCCAAACGGAAACTTTGTACCCACTAAACAACTCCCCATCCCCTTCTCCCAGCAGCCCCTGGCAACCACCATTCTACTTCCTGTCTCTATTAATTTGACTCCTCCAGGTACCTCATATAAGTATAATCATACAATATTCATCCTTTTGTGACAGGCATGTTTTACTTATCATAACATCCTCAGTGTTTATTCATGTTGCAGCATGTCTCAGAATCTCTTCTCTTTTTAAGGTTGGATAATATTCTATGATATGGATACCTCACATTTTGTTATATTAATCCACTGAGGGACACTGGGGTTGCTTCCACCTTTTGACTACTGTGAATAACGCTGCTTTAGACATTACTGTACAAGTATCTATTTGAGATTCTACTTTCGATTCTTTTGAGTACATCCCCAGAAGTGGAATTACTGGATCATATGGTAATTCTATGTTTAACTTTCTAAGGAATGGCCTTTTTATAGCAAGAAAGGGTTCTAGGGTGTGGGGGGTGGTGAGGAGGAGGGATGGTAGTTCCGAGAATCGAGATTACTTCAACATTCGTAAGAACCTCAAGGATGGTAGGTTGGAGGGATCTGAAAGTTAGTGTAGCACAGCTGCCTTCTAACACCTACAGACTCACTTCTGTGCGGCTTCCTTCTAGGGCTGAAATGCTCTGAGGTCTCCCTGTGCTGCCTTTACCTCTCGTGGCCACAGAGATAACATGAATCTGTCTGCTTTGTGACAGCCCTCAGGCCTCGGAAGACAGCTTTCTTGTCTCCCTGTCTTTTGTCTTCTAGAGAAAGCTTTGGGCTTTAATTTTTTTTTTTTTTTTTTTTTTTTTTTTGGTAGAGACAAGGTCTTGCTATGTTGCCCAGGCTGGTCTCAAACTCAAGGCCTCAAGTGATTCTCCTGCTTAAGCCTTCCAAAGTGCTGAGATTACTGGCATGAGCCACCATGGCCAGCCTGCTGTTTTTTAACTGTTCCTCCTATGACTCAGTTTTAAGACTCCTTATCCTAGGTACTCTCTGAATGAGTTAATTTCTGTACAATACTTATAAGAGTGGTACTCTAAGCGGAATGAAATACCCCTGGCAAAGTCCAAGCAGCATGGCCTAGAGAGAGTTTATCACTTCCTTTATTCTAAAGCGGGGCATCAAATGACTGCTTGGGCAGGGCAGGGAACAGAAAGGTGCAAGTCAGGCCTCTATGAGACAGCTGGGATGGGTAAAACCCAGGGTTAAATGGGAAGCATGTTGGCTTGCAAAGGTATTTACCTGGACAACAACAGCAGCCCCAACCAAAGAGAGGATTTACCCTAAGAAGAAACCATCCAGCCCACTGTTTCCTTTATTTTTTGATAGGTAGGTAAAAGGTGGATGAAGGACTGCAACCATCACAATGTGGCCTCATATGGAGCTTGCTTTCAACTAAAACCCTGAACACCTTTTCCCACAAGTGCTGCAAAATACCTCCCACCTATTCTTTACTCAAACCATTGATGTTTTCGACTCAACGGCAGGGCCTGACATGGCACTGACCTCTACTAAATGCCATGTTAGAATGATCTCATCTCTTTAACCCTTCAAGACTTGTCTAGTCTTATTCTGCCATCCTGTGTATTTAGTCCATCTCCCAACTTTATATCTTAGCTTGTCAATGCTTCTTAGCAATGATGAAGGAATTTTAGGAGCTTAATTGACTTTTTCAGTCCTCTCCATAAATTAGTGTGGTATGTACCACCTCAGCTGGACAGTTGCTCTTATATCTTTCATATTGAGCTGATTTCTGAACTCTCCCAAACAGCCAAGCATAGAATGAAGCCTTGTGAAGGATCACAACTTGAAGTCTGTCTTCCACTTCACAACTTCCCATAACTTCTGACATATTTTTAATATGCCATTCTCTCTTCTCTAATAAGAATGGCAGACACCCTGTGAGTAGGCTATAATATTTAATGAGTTACTATGTTTGCCTGTGGATATTTTTAAAGGAATACAGTAACTCTTTAGGAGACAAATGCTTTTTTCCTCCTTGAATAGAATGCCAAGTAAAATTTGGGTAAATTTATAAATATTTCTTTTTTTTTTTTTTGAGATGGAGTTTCACTCTTGTTGCCCAGGCTTGAGTGCAATGGCACGATCTCCACTCACTGCAACCTCCACCTCCCAGGTTCAAGCAATTCTCCTGCCTCAGCCTCCAGAGTAGCTGGAATTATAGGCATGCGCCACAGCGCCCGGCTAATTTTGTATTTTTAGTAGAGACGGGGGTTTCTCCATGTTGGTCAGGCTGGTCTTGAACTCCCAACCTCAGGTGATCCACCCACCTCGGCCTCCCAAAGTGCTGGGATTACAGGCGTGAGCCACTGCACCTGGCCTATAAATGTTTCTTTAACAAATAAACATGGTGGGGGCAGTCAGACCTATATTATCCACCTTATTTTTCTTTTTGCCTTGATTACCAGCAATCTAGGCCAAATTCAGAGCCCAGATAATTGGCTCATCTCAGGCAATTTGTTATATTCACCCCATTTACAGAGCCCCTAGTGTATTTTTTATCTTAAATTACCCTAGTTTTGGAATCGGTATCAACTTTCTCAAGCCAGTTAGTATCACTCTGCACATCACAAGAATATTTAAGTAAACGGTAGCCACTCAGAAAGGATTTCTGTCTTCCAAATGAATCATTTGCATCCTGCTCATTAACAAGGGCCTCTAAGTTCATAATAAGGCCAAGATATATTTTTTTCCAAAACGTCTTCAAGAGGAAAATATTAATTCAGTACATCAAGTTATGATAGGTGATCTAACAACATTAGTAGAATTAAATGAGGCAGGAAGTGCCATGAGAAATGCAAGTAACACTTAGAGAGGTAAAGCCTTCACAGCTCTTCAAAATGCTTCAGGGGCTTTTTAATAATATGTGTTACAGCACGAAACAGAGCTAACCCACATTTCAAAGGAAAGAAGGCCTTTTTCTCCTAAAGGTATATGTTCACAGTGACTTTATTATCCACAGCATTCAGCCAGTTTTCATGTTGGATAGATAAAGAACTTTCTCTCAATACCTTTGACCCTTAACATCTCTGCTGGGTGTGAGTTAAACTCAGCTGATGTGAGAACAGTAAATATAGTCAAACCCACACTCTTTACATTGAGTGCAGCTGGGGGAATTCATCGACATGGCCTAAACAGTGATAAAAAGGGACTGCAATAATGATGTATTGAAGAAATATTTATCAAGAACCTAATACCTACATGGTACCTAAGATACTAGAATACATTTATAAATATTTGTTGAGGAACTAATTATAAAGACTATTCCAGGTGCTTTAGGGTTCAGCCACAACCTATTATAAGTAATACCTATTATAAGTGGGTGCTTGTAATAGATATTACCATATTATCTAAGCACTCACTTTAATACTCATTGTTCTGGGCTCCACCTGATGTTATGATATGAATCTTTTTAGCTATACTCTGATCCAGAAGATCACATGATTAGCATCAATTTCTAAGGACAGTAATAAACTTGATAGTTCTGAGCAAATACATACACTACAGAATAGTCATTCAACAAATATTTATTGCCTGCCTACTATGTAGTCTATATATACCTATATGTAACACACATGCAAAGAACAGTCTAGTTAGTAGTTTAGAAGGAAGGAATTGGATGTTAAACGGGCCTGGGTTCAAGCACTGGTGCCACCCTTTAAAAGCAGTGAAACATTGAACAAGTCTTAGATTCCTTATCAGTAAAATGGGAATAAAAGTACCTATCTGGAAGAATTGTTGTGAGGATTACATACAATAACACTGATGAAATACTAGCCCAGGACCTGGCATAATTGCCAATTTAAAAAGAGCAACTTGGCAAAGTGCTAGTTGGGAGGCCAAGGCGGGAGGATTGCTTGAGCCTGGGAGTTCAAGACCAGCCTGGGAGAAATAGCAAGACCCTGCCACTAAAAAATAAAAATAATTAGCTAGGCATGGTGGTGTTTTCCTGTAATCCCAGCTACTCAGGAGGCTGAGGCAGGAGGATCACCTGAGCCCAGGCGTTTGAGGCTGCAGTGAGCTAAGGTCACACAACTGCGCTCTGGCCTGGGCTTCAGAGCAAGACCCTGTCTCAAATGAAAAAAAAAAAAAAAATGCCATTGTTTATATATATATGTACAAAAGTTTCTAAATAAAAATATTAATTCAGAAATCCATAACAGACATATTAAAAAGATGACAGTAGTTTTTAATTAAAATATTTTAAAGGTAACAACAGGAGGAGGAAAAAAAAAAGGCATATTTTAGCACAAAGGAACGGCAAAAAAAAAAAAAAAAGACACTAGGAGTTTGGTGAAAGTTTGCCACCAGAAAGCTAGTGGCAGTATCCATGCTTCAAACTCATATTGTGGGCCAGGTGCAGTGATTCATGTCTGTAAACCATGGCTTTGGGAGACTGGGGCAAGAGGATTGCCTGAGGCCAGGAGTTCAAGACCAGCCTGGGCATTAAAAAATTAGCTGGGCGCCGGGCGCGGTGGCTCACGCCTGTAATCCCAGCACTTTGGGAGGCCGAGGCGGGCGGATCACGAGGTCAGGAGATCGAGACCATCCCGGCTAAAACGGTGAAACCCCGTCTCTACTAAAAATACAAAAAAATTAGCCGGGCGTAGTGGCGGGCGCCTGTAGTCCCAGCTACTCGGGAGGCTGAGGCAGGAGAATGGCGTGAACCCGGGAGGCGGAGCTTGCAGTGAGCCGAGATCCCGCCACTGCACTCCAGCCTGGGCGACAGAGCGAGACTCCGTCTCAAAAAAAAAAAAAAAAAATTAGCTGGGCATGGTGGCTCATGCCTGTAGTCCCAGCTACTTGGGAGGCTGAGGCAGGAGGATCTCTTGAGCCCAGGAGGTCTAGGCTGCAGTGAGCCATGATTGTGCCACTGCATTCTGGCCTGGATGACAGAGCGAAACCTTGTCTCTGAAAAAAGAACTCAGATTTTGGGGTTTAGTTTTATGTCCTCCAAGGACTGCAGACTTCTCAAACCAAGAGTAATGATGGTCCTCACAAGGACAAACTTAGGTCCACCCTCTCTGCAGAAGAATCAGGGAATTATGACTCATAGGAGCCACCACAAAATCACTAACTGGAAATCCTTGCTGCAGCTACACTGCAAAAGAATCGGACTTGATTTGCCAAATTCCCCATGTGATACAAGCGTGGCCACCTGCCAAAGAGCCAGAGGGAGAGAGGGCCACTCGCCTTCCTGGTGACACAGAGATTTCCTAGCCCCGTTACCAAACGAAAAAGCAACGCAAGGGCTTCTAAGAAGCCATCCCAATGACCTTTTGGCTTTGAGAAGAGCAGTCCTCATACCAGAGTGTTTGGGGTTTTGGCCTCTTTCAGTGTTTATTCATTCTTACGTGGGAAAGTTGTATTCCGAGGTTTCTGTGGTGCATGAAGCTTTTGCCTTCACCATCTGTTCCCGTGTCTTCCTCGGGTGACATCAGAGTACAGCAGTATTTTCCCTTGCCATCTAATGGGGTTTGGGCTGTTTGACTCAACCGTGTGTGTTCCTCAATGCCAGGGGAATAATCCTACCCTAAGTCAGCTGAACAGAAGCCAGGATCTAACTGCAAACAAGAGACCCAGCTTGCTTAACAGCATGGAAGAGACCAGTTTCGTTGCAGCTACCTGGGAAGACGGTTGCTAATTAGCCTGCAACAAAGAGTTCCTTGCTCATCTAAAAGAGGCAATCACCGTTCAGGTAGGTTAAAGTGTTTCTGAGACTTTTCAGTGCCAGCCGAGAGCATGGGCAGCTTAGGAGGGCAGGCTGGGTGCAGACTGAGAGCTTTAAGTACCACCGAGAAAGGTGACTGGTGGATGAATTTCTGGCAGTGCTGTTGCCTCCAGGAGCTGGCCCCTGCAGACTGCTTGCTCAGAGAGTGGCCAGGACTGTAGAGAAACCGCAGGGAAGAGTATTTGAGGAGGGAGAATACAGATACTTTTCTGGAGTGGGGTGAGCCAAAGACATTCATTGGAGAGATTCCAATCTGATTCTCGGGTGCCAGTAAAATTGAGATTATTTGTCTGGGTCATGGCGTAGTTATAAGGACTCACTCAATACATGTGTGCAGATGGACTCATGTGGGATGTTTTTACACAAGGCACATGAAACTGAACATCTCCAACATGGACTTATTCTTTCTCTCCTTCTCACTCCTCACTGCTAGCCCTCCCTAACCCTTCAGCCTCTGTTATATTTCTGATCTATGCTAAGGCTATCTCACATCGTTAGCTTCCACTCACCACCTCTTGTAGGTTCCTACACACTCTTAACACCTTTCTCCATTTCCAATACCCTCAGCTGGGGCCCTCATCATCTTTCTCTTGGGCTACTGCAAGAGTCTCCTCACCATTGTCTCTGCCTCTAGTCCCTTTCACCTCCAATCCTCTCTTCAGGCAACTGCCCACATTCTCTTTCTGAAATGCAAGCTTGGGCATATATCCAGCTTAATGGACTCCAGTAGCTGCCCAGTACCTATGGAATAAAGTCCAAAGCTTCCGCATGGCACACAGGAGCTTTCAAGATCGGCTCCCTCTGCCATTGCAGCTTCATCACCTGCAAGAGTCCAGGACTGTCATCACCTGGATTACCTGCTGTTCTCCTAATATGACCTTGGAATTGCCTCCTTACTTCCTATGCTATTCCCTCAGCCTGGAATATCTTTCTCTTGTCCTGCCTGCCAAACTCCTCCTCTTTTTTCAAGACAAAGCCATCTCCTTTGTGAAGCCTTCCCGATCCTCCTTCCTCCAGATCTGGGTTAAGTATTCTGCCTCCTATTTGTGTGTGTGTGTGTGTGTGTGTGTGTGTGAAAGAAAGAGTGTGTGTGTGTATGTGTGAGTGTGTGTGTTTAAATATACATAACATAAAATTTATCGTCTTACCCATTTTTAAATGTACAGTTTAGTGGCATTAACTGTACATTCACATTCTTGTGTAACCACCACCACTATCCATTTCCAGGACATTTTAAACTTCCCCAGCTGAAATTTTGTACCCATTGAACACTAACTCCTCATTTCCTTCTATCCCCCAGCTTCTGGCGACCACCATTCTGTTTCCTGTCTGTGCGAATTTGGCTATTCTACATACATGATATATATAGGATTTGTCCTTTTGTGAGAGGCTTTTTTCACTCAGCAGCATACCTTCAAGATTCATCCATGTTGTAGCATGTGTCAGAATTTCTTTTCTTTTTAAGGTTGAATAATATTCCATTGCATATATATATGTATGTACGTGTATGTAAATATATATACACACACACAGTGATATATATAATATATCACATTTTCTTTATTCATCTATCAATGGACACTTGCATTGCTTCCCCTTTGGCTTTTATGAATAATGCTGCTATGAACATGGGTGTACCAATATCTCTTTGAGATCCTGCTTTCGCTCTTTGATATGTACCGGAAGTGGAATTGTTGGATGGTATGGTAATTCACACCCCTATTATTTTTCCTCAAAGCCGATTGTGCATGTTAAATATGCATCTTCAATGTGGTAATGTAGCTATATACAAACTTCCAAGGAGTAATTTTAGGTAATTAAAGCACAGCAAAGACTCTGCAAAGAACATCTGACTCTTCCCTGTGGTAAAAGTATGTTTTCCACACAGAAGAACTTGCAAACCTGTTGAAACGTGACAGTGTGAATAACACTTGCAGTCTAAAATTAAACTCTGGCAAAATACTTCTAAGGAGAAAATTCTTTTAAGATAACCAGTTGGTAAGTTTTGTAGTTACCACTTCGTTATGACCTGCTTAGAAATTTGGAGTTAGGAACCCCAGTT